>NC_000001.11:122237466-122503147 GCF_000001405.40 Homo sapiens
TTTGCCCATTCAGTATGATATTGGCTGTGGGTTTGTCATAGATGATGGAGCATTTTCAAAACACACCTTTTGTAGAATATGCAAGTGGATATTGGGATTTCTCTGAGAATTTCGTTGGAAACAGGATAAACCTCACATAACTGAAGAGGAAAGCATTCTCAGAAACTTCTTTGTGATGTTGTCATTCAACTCACAGGTTTGAACCTTCTCTTGTGAGTTCAGGTTGAAACTCTCTTTTTGTAGAATCTGCAAGTGGAGATTTGGACCACTTGGAGTCCTACGGTAGTAAAGGAAATAGCTTCATCTAAAAACTGGACAGAAGCATTCTCAGAAAATACTTTGTGATGATTGAGTTTAACTCACAGAGCTGAACATGCCTTTGGGTGGAGCAGTTTGGAAACACACTTTTTGCAGAATCTGCAGGTGGATATTTGGACCTCTCTGAGGATTTCCTTGGAAACGGGAAAACGTCACCTAACTAAACAGAAGCTTTCGCAGAAACATCTTTCTGACGTTTGCATTCAAAGTCCAGAGTTGAACCTTCCTTTGATAGTTCACGTTTGAAACACTCTTGTTGGAGGACCTGCAAGTGGATATTTGGAGCACTTTGTGGCCTTCGTTCGAAACGGGTATATCTTCACATAAAATCTAGACAGAAGCCTTCTCAGAAACTTCTCTGTGATGACTGCATTCAACTCACAGAGTTGAACATTCCTTTTGATAGAGCAGTTTTGAAACTCTCTTTTTGTAGCATCTGCAAATGGATAGGTGGAAGTCTGTGAAGATTTCTTTGGAAACGGGAATATCTTCACGTAAAAAGTAAACAGAAGCATTCTCAGAAACTCCTTTGTGAGGCTTGTGTTCAACTCCCAGAGTATAACATTGCTTTTCATAGAGCAGTTTTGAAACATTCTTTTCGTAGAGTCTCCAAGTGGACATTTGGAGCGCTTTCAGGCCTGTGGTGGAAAAGGAAATATCTTCACATAAAAACTAGAGAGAAGCATTGTCAGAAACTTCTTTGTGATGATTGCATTCAACTCACGGAGTTGAAGATTCCTTTTGATACAGCAGTTAGGAAACACTCTTTCGGTGGAATCTGCAAGCGGATATGTGGACCTCTTTGAACATTTCGATGGAAAAGGGATAATCTTCCCATAAAAGCTAAACGGAAGCATGCTCAGGAACTTCTTTGTGATGTTTGCATTCAACTCACAGAGTTGTACTTTCCTTTTGATAGAGCAGCTTTGAAACCCTCTCTTTCTAGCATCTGCAAGGGGACATTTGGAGGGCTTCGAGGCCTGGGGTGGAAAAGGAAATATCTGCTCATAAAAGCTACATGGAAGCATTCTCAGAAACTGCTTTGTGATGATTGCATTCAAGTCACAGAGTTGAACATTCCCTTTGATAGAGCCGTTTGGAAACACACTTTTGGTAGAATCTGAAAGGGGAGATTTGGACCGCTTTGAGGCCTATGGCAGCAGAGGATATAACTGCCCATAAAAACTAGACAGTAGCATTCCCAGGAAACACTTTGTGACGATTGAGTTCAACTCACAGAGCTCAACATTCCTTTGGATGGAGCAGTTTCAAAACACACTTTCTGTAGAATCTGCAAGTGGATATTTGGACCTCTCTGAGTATTTCGTTGGATACGGGAGAAAACTCACCTATCTAAACAGAAGCATTCTCAGAACCTTCTTCGTGATGCTTGCAGTCAACTCACAGTGTTGAACCTTTCTCTGATAGTTCAGGTTTGAAACACTCCTTCTGCAGAATCTGCAAGTGGAGATTTGGACCTCTTTGAGGCCTATCGTCGTAAAGGAAATAACTTCATCCTAAAACAAGACAGAAGCATTCTCAGAAAATTCTTTGTGATGATTGAGTTTAACTCACAGAGCTGAGCATATCTTTTGATGGAGCACTTTCAAAACACACTTTTTGTAGAATATGCAAGTGGATATTTGTACTTCTCTGAGAATTTCGTTGGAAACGGGATAAAACTCACATAACTGAAGAGAAACATTCCCAGAACTTCTTTGTGATGTTGGCATTCAACTGACAGAGTTGAACCTTCCCTTGTGAGTTCAGGTTGAAACGCTCTTTTCGTAGTATCTGCAAGTGGAGATTTGGAACGCTTTGAGGCCTACGGTAGTAAAGGAAACAGCTTCATGTAAAAACTGGACAGAAGCATTCTCAGAAAATACTTTGTGATGATTGAGTTTAACTCACAGAGCTGAACATGCCTTTGGGTGGAGCAGTTTGGAAACACACTTTTTGCAGAATCTGCAGGTGGATATTTGGACCTCTCTGAGGATTTCGTTGGAAACGGGTAACGTCACCTAACTAAACAGAAGCTTTCGCAGAAACATCTTTCTGACGTTTGCATTCAAAGTCCAGAGTTGAACCTTCCTTTGATAGTTCACGTTTGAAACACTCTTGTTGGAGGACCTGCAAGTGGATATTTGGAGCACTTTGTGGCCTTCGTTCGAAACGGGTATATCTTCACATAAAATCTAGACAGAAGCCTTCTCAGAAACTTCTCTGTGATGACTGCATTCAACTCACAGAGTTGAACATTCCTTTTGATAGAGCAGTTTTGAAACTCTCTTTTTCAAGCATCTGCAAATGGATAGGTGGAAGTCTGTGAAGATTTCTTTGGAAACGGGAATATCTTCACGTAAAAAGTAAACAGAAGAATTCTCAGAAACTCCTTTGTGAGGCTTGTGTTCAACACCCAGAGTATAACATTGCTTTTCATAGAGCAGTTTTGAAACATTCTTTTCGTAGAGTCTCCAAGTGGACATTTGGAGCGCTTTCAGGCCTGTGGCGGAAAAGGAAATATCTCCACATAAAAACTAGAGAGAAGCGTTGTCAGAAACTTCTTTGTGATGATTGCATTCAACTCACGGAGTTGAAGATTCCTTTTGATACAGCAGTTTGGAAACACTCTTTCGGTGGAATCTGCAAGCGGACATGTGGACCTCTTTGAACATTTCGATGGAAAAGGGATAATCTTCCCATAAAAGCTAAACGGAAGCATGCTCAGGAACTTCTTTGTGATGTTTGCATTCAACTCACAGAGTTGTACTTTCCTTTTGATAGAGCAGCTTTGAAACCCTCTCTTTCTAGCATCTGCAAGGGGACATTTGGAGGGCTTCGAGGCCTGGGGTGGAAAAGGAAATATCTGCTCATAAAAGCTACATGGAAGCATTCTCAGAAACTGCTTTGTGATGATTGCATTCAAGTCACAGAGTTGAACATTCCCTTTGATAGAGCCGTTTGGAAACACACTTTTGGTAGAATCTGAAAGGGGAGATTTGGACCGCTTTGAGGCCTATGGCAGCAGAGGATATAACTGCCCATAAAAACTAGACAGTAGCATTCCCAGGAAACACTTTGTGACGATTGAGTTCAACTCACAGAGCTGAACATTCCTTTGGATGGAGCAGTTTCAAAACACACTTTCTGTAGAATCTGCAAGTGGATATTTGGACCTCTCTGAGGATTTCGTTGGATACGGGAGAAAACTCACCTATCTAAACAGAAGCATTCTCAGAACCTTCTTCGTGATGCTTGCATTCAACTCACAGTGTTGAACCTTTCTCTGATAGTTCAGGTTTGAAACACTCCTTCTGCAGAATCTGCAAGTGGAGATTTGGACCTCTTTGAGGCCTATCGTCGTAAAGGAAATAACTTCATCCTAAAACAAGACAGAAGCATTCTCAGAAAATTACTTTGTGATGATTGAGTTTAACTCACAGAGCTGAGCATATCTTTTGATGGAGCACTTTCAAAACACACTTTGTGTAGAATATGCAAGTGGATATTTGTACTTCTCTGAGAATTTCGTTGGAAACGGGATAAAACTCACATAACTGAAGAGAAACTTTCCCAGAACTTCTTTGTGATGTTGGCATTCAACTGACAGAGTTGAACCTTCCCTTGTGAGTTCAGGTTGAAACGCTCTTTTCGTAGTATCTTCAAGTGGAGTTTTGGAACGCTTTGAGGCCTACGGTAGTAAAGGAAACAGCTTCATGTAAAAACTGGACAGAAGCATTCTCAGAAAATACTTTGTGATGATTGAGTTTAACTCACAGAGCTGAACATGCCTTTGGGTGGAGTAGTTTGGAAACACACTTTTTGCAGAATCTGCAGGTGGATATTTGGACCTCTCTGAGGATTTCATTGGAAACGGGATAACGTCACCTAACTAAACAGAAGCTTTCGCAGAAACATCTTTCTGACGTTTGCATTCAAAGTCCAGAGTTGAACCTTCCTTTGATAGTTCACGTTTGAAACACTCTTGTTGGAGGACCTGCAAGTGGATATTTGGAGCACTTTGTGGCCTTTGTTCGAAACGGGTATATCTTCACATAAAATCTAGACAGAAGCCTTCTCAGAAACTTCTCTGTGATGACTGCATTCAACTCACAGAGTTGAACATTCCTTTTGATAGAGCAGTTTTGAAACTCTCTTTTTCTAGCATCTGCAAATGGATAGGTGGAAGTCTGTGAAGATTTCTTTGGAAACGGGAATATCTTCACGTAAAAAGTAAACAGAAGCATTCTCAGAAACTCCTTTGTGAGGCTTGTGTTCAACTCCCAGAGTATAACATTGCTTTTCATAGAGCAGTTTTGAAACATTCTTTTCGTAGAGTCTCCAAGTGGACATTTGGAGCGCTTTCAGGCCTGTGGTGGAAAAGGAAATATCTTCACATAAAAACTAGAGAGAAGCGTTGTCAGAAACTTCTTTGTGATGATTGCATTCAACTCACGGAGTTGAAGATTCCTTTTGATACAGCAGTTTGGAAACACTCTTTCGGTGGAATCTGCAAGCGGATATGTGGACCTCTTTGAACATTTCGATGGAAAAGGGATAATCTTCCCATAAAAGCTAAACGGAAGCATGCTCAGGAACTTCTTTGTGATGTTTGCATTCAACTCACAGAGTTGTACTTTCCTTTTGATAGAGCAGCTTTGAAACCCTCTCTTTCTAGCATCTGCAAGGGGACATTTGGAGGGCTTCGAGGCCTGGGGTGGAAAAGGAAATATCTGCTCATAAAAGCTACATGGAAGCATTCTCAGAAACTGCTTTGTGATGATTGCATTCAAGTCACAGAGTTGAACATTCCCTTTGATAGAGCCGTTTGGAAACACACTTTTGGTAGAATCTGAAAGGGGAGATTTGGACCGCTTTGAGGCCTATGGCAGCAGAGGATATAACTGCCCATAAAAACTAGACAGTAGCATTCCCAGGAAACACTTTGTGACGATTGAGTTCAACTCACAGAGCTCAACATTCCTTTGGATGGAGCAGTTTCAAAACACACTTTCTGTAGAATCTGCAAGTGGATATTTGGACCTCTCTGAGGATTTCGTTGGATACGGGAGAAAACTCACCTATCTAAACAGAAGCATTCTCAGAACCTTCTTCGTGATGCTTGCATTCAACTCACAGTGTTGAACCTTTCTCTGATAGTTCAGGTTTGAAACACTCCTTCTGCAGAATCTGCAAGTGGAGATTTGGACCTCTTTGAGGCCTATCGTCGTAAAGGAAATAACTTCATCCTAAAACAAGACAGAAGCATTCTCAGAAAATTCTTTGTGATGATTGAGTTTACCTCACAGAGCTGAGCATATCTTTTGATGGAGCACTTTCAAAACACACTTTGTGTAGAATATGCAAGTGGATATTTGTACTTCTCTGAGAATTTCGTTGGAAACGGGATAAAACTCACATAACTGAAGAGAAACATTCCCAGAACTTCTTTGTGATGTTGGCATTCAACTGACAGAGTTGAACCTTCCCTTCTGTGTTCAGGTTGAAACGCTCTTTTCGTAGTATCTGCAAGTGGAGATTTGGAATGCTTTGAGGCCTACGGTAGTAAAGGAAACAGCTTCATGTAAAATCTGGACAGAAGCATTCTCAGAAAATACTTTGTGATGATTGAGTTTAACTCACACAGCTGAACATTCCTTTGGGTGGAGCAGTTTGGAAACACACTTTTTGTGGACCCTGCAGGTGGACATTTGGACCTCTCTGAGGATTTCTTTGGAAACGGGATAACGTCGCCTAACTAAACAGAAGCTTTCGCAGAAACATCTTTCTGACGTTTGCATTCAAAGTCCAGAGTTGAACCTTCCTTTGATAGTTCACGTTTCAAACACTCTTGTTGGAGGACCTGCAAGTGGATATTTGGAGCACTTTGTGGCCTTCGTTCGAAACGGGTATATCTTCACAAAAAATCTAGACAGAAGCCTTCTCAGAAACTTCTCTGTGATGACTGCATTCAACTCACAGAGTTGAACATTCCTTTTGATAGAGCAGTTTTGAAACTCTCTTTTTCTAGCATCTGCAAATGGATAGGTGGAAGCCTGTGAAGATTTCTTTGGAAACGGGAATATCTTCACGTAAAAAGTAAACAGAAGCATTCTCAGAAACTCCTTTGTGAGGCTTGTGTTCAACTCCCAGAGTATAACATTGCTTTTCATAGAGCAGTTTTGAAACATTCTTTTCGTAGAGTCTCCAAGTGGACATTTGGAGCGCTTTCAGGCCTGTGGTGGAAAAGGAAATATCTTCACATAAAAACTAGAGAGAAGCGTTGTCAGAAACTTCTTTGTGATGATTGCATTCAACTCACGGAGTTGAAGATTCCTTTTGATACAGCAGTTTGGAAACACTCTTTCGGTGGAATCTGCAAGCGGATATGTGGACCTCTTTGAACATTTCGATGGAAAAGGGATAATCTTCCCATAAAAGCTAAACGGAAGCATGCTCAGGAGCTTCTTTGTGATGTTTCCATTCAACTCACAGAGTTGTACTTTCCTTTTGATAGAGCAGCTTTGAAACCCTCTCTTTCTAGCATCTGCAAGGGGACATTTGGAGGGCTTCGAGGCCTGGGGTGGAAAAGGAAATATCTGCTCATTAAAGCTACATGGAAGCATTATCAGAAACTGCTTTGTGATGATTGCATTCAAGTCACAGAGTTGAACATTCCCTTTGATAGAGCCGTTTGGAAACACACTTTTGGTAGAATCTGAAAGGGGAGATTTGGACCGCTTTGAGGCCTATGGCAGCAGAGGATATAACTGCCCATAAAAACTAGACAGTAGCATTCTCAGGAAACACTTTGTGACGATTGAGTTCAACTCACAGAGCTGAACATTCCTTTGGATGGAGCAGTTTCAAAACACACTTTCTGTGGAATCTGCAAGTGGATATTTGGACCTCTCTGAGGATTTCGTTGGATACGGGAGAAAACTCACCTATCTAAACAGAAGCATTCTCAGAACCTTCTTCGTGATGCTTGCATTCAACTCACAGTGTTGAACCTTTGTCTGATAGTTCAGGTTTGAAACACTCCTTCTGCAGAATCTGCAAGTGGAGATTTGGACCTCTTTGAGGCCTATCGTCGTAAAGGAAATAACTTCATCCTAAAACAAGACAGAAGCATTCTCAGAAAATTCTTTGTGATGATTGAGTTTAACTCACAGAGCTGAGCATATCTTTTGATGGAGCACTTTCAAAACACACTTTTTGTAGAATATGCAAGTGGATATTTGTACTTCTCTGAGAATTTCGTTGGAAACGGGATAAAACTCACATAACTGAAGAGAAACATTCCCAGAACTTCTTTGTGATGTTGGCATTCAACTGACAGAGTTGAACCTTCCCTTGTGAGTTCAGGTTGAAACGCCCTTTTCGTAGTATCTGCAAGTGGAGATTTGGAACGCTTTGAGGCCTACGGTAGTAAAGGAAACAGCTTCATGTAAAAACTGGACAGAAGCATTCTCAGAAAATACTTTGTGATGATTGAGTTTAACTCACAGAGCTGAACATGCCTTTGGGTGGAGCAGTTTGGAAACACACTTTTTGCAGAATCTGCAGGTGGATATTTGGACCTCTCTGAGGATTTCGTTGGAAACGGGATAACGTCACCTAACTAAACAGAAGCTTTCGCAGAAACATCTTTCTGACGTTTGCATTCAAAGTCCAGAGTTGAACCTTCCTTTGATAGTTCACGTTTGAAACACTCTTGTTGGAGGACCTGCAAGTGGATATTTGGAGCACTTTGTGGCCTTCGTTCGAAACGGGTATATCTTCACATAAAATCTAGACAGAAGCCTTCTCAGAAACTTCTCTGTGATGACTGCATTCAACTCACAGAGTTGAACATTCCTTTTGATAGAGCAGTTTTGAAACTCTCTTTTTCAAGCATCTGCAAATGGATAGGTGGAAGTCTGTGAAGATTTCTTTGGAAACGGGAATATCTTCACGTAAAAAGTAAACAGAAGCATTCTCAGAAACTCCTTTGTGAGGCTTGTGTTCAACTCCCAGAGTATAACATTGCTTTTCATAGAGCAGTTTTGAAACATTCTTTTCGTAGAGTCTCCAAGTGGACATTTGGAGCGCTTTCAGGCCTGTGGTGGAAAAGGAAATATCTTCACATAAAAACTAGAGAGAAGCGTTGTCAGAAACTTCTTTGTGATGATTGCATTCAACTCACGGAGTTGAAGATTCCTTTTGATACAGCAGTTTGGAAACACTCTTTCGGTGGAATCTGCAAGCGGATATGTGGACCTCTTTGAACATTTCGATGGAAAAGGGATAATCTTCCCATAAAAGCTAAACGGAAGCATGCTCAGGAACTTCTTTGTGATGTTTGCATTCAACTCACAGAGTTGTACTTTCCTTTTGATAGAGCAGCTTTGAAACCCTCTCTTTCTAGCATCTGCAAGGGGACATTTGGAGGGCTTCGAGGCCTGGGGTGGAAAAGGAAATATCTGCTCCTAAAAGCTACATGGAAGCATTCTCAGAAACTGCTTTGTGATGATTGCATTCAAGTCACAGAGTTGAACATTCCCTTTGATAGAGCCGTTTGGAAACACACTTTTGGTAGAATCTGAAAGGGGAGATTTGGACCGCTTTGAGGCCTATGGCAGCAGAGGATATAACTGCCCATAAAAACTAGACAGTAGCATTCTCAGGAAACACTTTGTGACGATTGAGTTCAACTCACAGAGCTGAACATTCCTTTGGATGGAGCAGTTTCAAAACACACTTTCTGTGGAATCTGCAAGTGGATATTTGGACCTCTCTGAGGATTTCGTTGGATACGGGAGAAAACTCACCTATCTAAACAGAAGCATTCTCAGAACCTTCTTCGTGATGCTTGCATTCAACTCACAGTGTTGAACCTTTGTCTGATAGTTCAGGTTTGAAACACTCCTTCTGCAGAATCTGCAAGTGGAGATTTGGACCTCTTTGAGGCCTATCGTCGTAAAGGAAATAACTTCATCCTAAAACAAGACAGAAGCATTCTCAGAAAATTCTTTGTGATGATTGAGTTTAACTCACAGAGCTGAGCATATCTTTTGATGGAGCACTTTCAAAACACACTTTTTGTAGAATATGCAAGTGGATATTTGTACTTCTCTGAGAATTTCGTTGGAAACGGGATAAAACTCACATAACTGAAGAGAAACATTCCCAGAACTTCTTTGTGATGTTGGCATTCAACTGACAGAGTTGAACCTTCCCTTGTGAGTTCAGGTTGAAACGCCCTTTTCGTAGTATCTGCAAGTGGAGATTTGGAACGCTTTGAGGCCTACGGTAGTAAAGGAAACAGCTTCATGTAAAAACTGGACAGAAGCATTCTCAGAAAATACTTTGTGATGATTGAGTTTAACTCACAGAGCTGAACATGCCTTTGGGTGCAGCAGTTTGGAAACACACTTTTTGCAGAATCTGCAGGTGGATATTTGGACCTCTCTGAGGATTTCGTTGGAAACGGGATAACGTCACCTAACTAAACAGAAGCTTTCGCAGAAACATCTTTCTGACGTTTGCATTCAAAGTCCAGAGTTGAACCTTCCTTTGATAGTTCACGTTTGAAACACTCTTGTTGGAGGACCTGCAAGTGGATATTTGGAGCACTTTGTGGCCTTCGTTCGAAACGGGTATATCTTCACATAAAATCTAGACAGAAGCCTTCTCAGAAACTTCTCTGTGATGACTGCATTCAACTCACAGAGTTGAACATTCCTTTTGATAGAGCAGTTTTGAAACTCTCTTTTTCTAGCATCTGCAAATGGATAGGTGGAAGTCTGTGAAGATTTCTTTGGAAACGGGAATATCTTCACGTAAAAAGTAAACAGAAGCATTCTCAGAAAGTCCTTTGTGAGGCTTGAGTTCAACTCCCAGAGTATAACATTGCTTTTCATAGAGCAGTTTTGAAACATTCTTTTCGTAGAGTCTCCAAGTGGACATTTGGAGCGCTTTCAGGCCTGTGGTGGAAAAGGAAATATCTTCACATAAAAACTAGAGAGAAGCATTGTCAGAAACTTCTTTGTGATGATTGCATTCAACTCACGGAGTTGAAGATTCCTTTTGATACAGCAGTTTGGAAACACTCTTTCGGTGGAATCTGCAAGCGGATATGTGGACCTCTTTGAACATTTCGATGGAAAAGGGATAATCTTCCCATGAAAGCTAAACGGAAGCATGCTCAGGAGCTTCTTTGTGATGTTTGCATTCAACTCACAGAGTTGTACTTTCCTTTTGATAGAGCAGCTTTGAAACCCTCTCTTTCTAGCATCTGCAAGGGGACATTTGGAGGGCTTCGAGGCCTGGGGTGGAAAAGGAAATATCTGCTCATTAAAGCTACATGGAAGCATTCTCAGAAACTGCTTTGTGATGATTGCATTCAAGTCACAGAGTTGAACATTCCCTTTGATAGAGCCGTTTGGAAACACACTTTTGGTAGAATCTGAAAGGGGAGATTTGGACCGCTTTGAGGCCTATGGCAGCAGAGGATATAACTGCCCATAAAAACTAGACAGTAGCATTCCCAGGAAACACTTTGTGACGATTGAGTTCAACTCACAGAGCTGAACATTCCTTTGGATGGAGCAGTTTCAAAACACACTTTCTGTAGAATCTGCAAGTGGATATTTGGACCTCTCTGAGGATTTCGTTGGATACGGGAGAAAACTCACCTATCTAAACAGAAGCATTCTCAGAACCTTCTTCGTGATGCTTGCATTCAACTCACAGTGTTGAACCTTTCTCTGATAGTTCAGGTTTGAAACACTCCTTCTGCAGAATCTGCAAGTGGAGATTTGGACCTCTTTGAGGCCTATCGTCGTAAAGGAAATAACTTCATCCTAAAACAAGACAGAAGCATTCTCAGAAAATTCTTTGTGATGATTGAGTTTAACTCACAGAGCTGAGCATATCTTTTGATGGAGCACTTTCAAAACACACTTTGTGTAGAATATGCAAGTGGATATTTGTACTTCTCTGAGAATTTCGTTGGAAACGGGATAAAACTCACATAACTGAAGAGAAACATTCCCAGAACTTCTTTGTGATGTTGGCATTCAACTCTCAGAGTTGAACCTTCCCTTGTGAGTTCAGGTTGAAACGCCCTTTTCGTAGTATCTGCAAGTGGAGATTTGGAACGCTTTGAGGCCTACGGTAGTAAAGGAAACAGCTTCATGTAAAAACTGGACAGAAGCATTCTCAGAAAATACTTTGTGATGATTGAGTTTAACTCACAGAGCTGAACATGCCTTTGGGTGGAGCAGTTTGGAAACACACTTTTTGCAGAATCTGCAGGTGGATATTTGGACCTCTCTGAGGATTTCGTTGGAAACGGGATAACGTCACCTAACTAAACAGAAGCTTTCGCAGAAACATCTTTCTGACGTTTGCATTCAAAGTCCAGAGTTGAACCTTCCTTTGATAGTTCACGTTTGAAACACTCTTGTTGGAGGACCTGCAAGTGGATATTTGGAGCACTTTGTGGCCTTCGTTCGAAACGGGTATATCTTCACATAAAATCTAGACAGAAGCCTTCTCAGAAACTTCTCTGTGATGACTGCATTCAACTCACAGAGTTGAACATTCCTTTTGATAGAGCAGTTTTGAAACTCTCTTTTTCTAGCATCTGCAAATGGATAGGTGGAAGTCTGTGAAGATTTCTTTGGAAACGGGAATATCTTCACGTAAAAAGTAAACAGAAGCATTCTCAGAAAGTCCTTTGTGAGGCTTGTGTTCAACTCCCAGAGTATAACATTGCTTTTCATAGAGCAGTTTTGAAACATTCTTTTCGTAGAGTCTCCAAGTGGACATTTGGAGCGCTTTCAGGCCTGTGGTGGAAAAGGAAATATCTTCACATAAAAACTAGAGAGAAGCATTGTCAGAAACTTCTTTGTGATGATTGCATTCAACTCACGGAGTTGAAGATTCCTTTTGATACAGCAGTTTGGAAACACTCTTTCGGTGGAATCTGCAAGCGGATATGTGGACCTCTTTGAACATTTCGATGGAAAAGGGATAATCTTCCCATGAAAGCTAAACGGAAGCATGCTCAGGAGCTTCTTTGTGATGTTTGCATTCAACTCACAGAGTTGTACTTTCCTTTTGATAGAGCAGCTTTGAAACCCTCTCTTTCTAGCATCTGCAAGGGGACATTTGGAGGGCTTCGAGGCCTGGGGTGGAAAAGGAAATATCTTCTCCTAAAAGCTACATGGAAGCATTCTCAGAAACTGCTTTGTGATGATTGCATTCAAGTCACAGAGTTGAACATTCCCTTTGATAGAGCCGTTTGGAAACACACTTTTGGTAGAATCTGAAAGGGGAGATTTGGACCGCTTTGAGGCCTATGGCAGCAGAGGATATAACTGCCCATAAAAACTAGACAGTAGCATTCCCAGGAAACACTTTGTGACGATTGAGTTCAACTCACAGAGCTGAACATTCCTTTGGATGGAGCAGTTTCAAAACACACTTTCTGTAGAATCTGCAAGTGGATATTTGGACCTCTCTGAGGATTTCGTTGGATACGGGAGAAAACTCACCTATCTAAACAGAAGCATTCTCAGAACCTTCTTCGTGATGCTTGCATTCAACTCACAGTGTTGAACCTTTCTCTGATAGTTCAGGTTTGAAACACTCCTTCTGCAGAATCTGCAAGTGGAGATTTGGACCTCTTTGAGGCCTATCGTCGTAAAGGAAATAACTTCATCCTAAAACAAGACAGAAGCATTCTCAGAAAATTCTTTGTGATGATTGAGTTTACCTCACAGAGCTGAGCATATCTTTTGATGGAGCACTTTCAAAACACACTTTGTGTAGAATATGCAAGTGGATATTTGTACTTCTCTGAGAATTTCGTTGGAAACGGGATAAAACTCACATAACTGAAGAGAAACCTTCCCAGAACTTCTTTGTGATGTTGGCATTCAACTGACAGAGTTGAACCTTCCCTTGTGAGTTCAGGTTGAAACGCCCTTTTCGTAGTATCTGCAAGTGGAGATTTGGAACGCTTTGAGGCCTACGGTAGTAAAGGAAACAGCTTCATGTAAAAACTGGACAGAAGCATTCTCAGAAAATACTTTGTGATGATTGAGTTTAACTCACAGAGCTGAACATGCCTTTGGGTGGAGCAGTTTGGAAACACACTTTTTGCAGAATCTGCAGGTGGATATTTGGACCTCTCTGAGGATTTCCTTGGAAACGGGATAACGTCACCTAACTAAACAGAAGCTTTCGCAGAAACATCTTTCTGACGTTTGCATTCAAAGTCCAGAGTTGAACCTTCCTTTGATAGTTCACGTTTGAAACACTCTTGTTGGAGGACCTGCAAGTGGATATTTGGAGCACTTTGTGGCCTTCGTTCGAAACGGGTATATCTTCACATAAAATCTAGACAGAAGCCTTCTCAGAAACTTCTCTGTGATGACTGCATTCAACTCACAGAGTTGAACATTCCTTTTGATAGAGCAGTTTTGAAACTCTCTTTTTCTAGCATCTGCAAATGGATAGGTGGAAGTCTGTGAAGATTTCTTTGGAAACGGGAATATCTTCACGTAAAAAGTAAACAGAAGCATTCTCAGAAACTCCTTTGTGAGGCTTGTGTTCAACTCCCAGAGTATAACATTGCTTTTCATAGAGCAGTTTTGAAACATTCTTTTCGTAGAGTCTCCAAGTGGACATTTGGAGCGCTTTCAGGCCTGTGGTGGAAAAGGAAATATCTTCACATAAAAACTAGAGAGAAGCATTGTCAGAAACTTCTTTGTGATGATTGCATTCAACTCACGGAGTTGAAGATTCCTTTTGATACAGCAGTTTGGAAACACTCTTTCGGTGGAATCTGCAAGCGGATATGTGGACCTCTTTGAACATTTCGATGGAAAAGGGATAATCTTCCCATGAAAGCTAAACGGAAGCATGCTCAGGAGCTTCTTTGTGATGTTTGCATTCAACTCACAGAGTTGTACTTTCCTTTTGATAGAGCAGCTTTGAAACCCTCTCTTTCTAGCATCTGCAAGGGGACATTTGGAGGGCTTCGAGGCCTGGGGTGGAAAAGGAAATATCTGCTCATTAAAGCTACATGGAAGCATTCTCAGAAACTGCTTTGTGATGATTGCATTCAAGTCACAGAGTTGAACATTCCCTTTGATAGAGCCGTTTGGAAACACACTTTTGGTAGAATCTGAAAGGGGAGATTTGGACCGCTTTGAGGCCTATGGCAGCAGAGGATATAACTGCCCATAAAAACTAGACAGTAGCATTCCCAGGAAAACACTTTGTGACGATTGAGTTCAACTCACAGAGCTGAACATTCCTTTGGATGGAGCAGTTTCAAAACACACTTTCTGTAGAATCTGCAAGTGGATATTTGGACCTCTCTGAGGATTTCGTTGGATACGGGAGAAAACTCACCTATCTAAACAGAAGCATTCTCAGAACCTTCTTCGTGATGCTTGCATTCAACTCACAGTGTTGAACCTTTCTCTGATAGTTCAGGTTTGAAACACTCCTTCTGCAGAATCTGCAAGTGGAGATTTGGACCTCTTTGAGGCCTATCGTCGTAAAGGAAATAACTTCATCCTAAAACAAGACAGAAGCATTCTCAGAAAATTCTTTGTGATGATTGAGTTTAACTCACAGAGCTGAGCATATCTTTTGATGGAGCACTTTCAAAACACACTTTTTGTAGAATATGCAAGTGGATATTTGTACTTCTCTGAGAATTTCGTTGGAAACGGGATAAAACTCACATAACTGAAGAGAAACATTCCCAGAATTTCTTTGTGATGTTGGCATTCAACTGACAGAGTTGAACCTTCCCTTGTGAGTTCAGGTTGAAACGCTCTTTTCGTAGTATCTGCAAGTGGAGATTTGGAACGCTTTGAGGCCTACGGTAGTAAAGGAAACAGCTTCATGTGAAAACTGGACAGAAGCATTCTCAGAAAATACTTTGTGATGATTGAGTTTAACTCACAGAGCTGAACATGCCTTTGGGTGGAGCAGTTTGGAAACACACTTTTTGCAGAATCTGCAGGTGGATATTTGGACCTCTCTGAGGATTTCGTTGGAAACGGGATAACGTCACCTAACTAAACAGAAAGCTTTCGCAGAAACATCTTTCTGACGTTTGCATTCAAAGTCCAGAGTTGAACCTTCCTTTGATAGTTCACGTTTGAAACACTCTTGTTGGAGGACCTGCAAGTGGATATTTGGAGCACTTTGTGGCCTTTGTTCGAAACGGGTATATCTTCACATAAAATCTAGACAGAAGCCTTCTCAGAAACTTCTCTGTGATGACTGCATTCAACTCACAGAGTTGAACATTCCTTTTGATAGAGCAGTTTTGAAACTCTCTTTTTCTAGCATCTGCAAATGGATAGGTGGAAGCCTGTGAAGATTTCTTTGGAAACGGGAATATCTTCACGTAAAAAGTAAACAGAAGCATTCTCAGAAACTCCTTTGTGAGGCTTGTGTTCAACTCCCAGAGTATAACATTGCTTTTCATAGAGCAGTTTTGAAACATTCTTTTCGTAGAGTCTCCAAGTGGACATTTGGAGCGCTTTCAGGCCTGTGGTGGAAAAGGAAATATCTTCACATACAAACTAGAGAGAAGCGTTGTCAGAAACTTCTTTGTGATGATTGCATTCAACTCACGGAGTTGAAGATTCCTTTTGATACAGCAGTTTGGAAACACTCTTTCGGTGGAATCTGCAAGCGGATATGTGGACCTCTTTGAACATTTCGATGGAAAAGGGATAATCTTCCCATAAAAGCTAAACGGAAGCATGCTCAGGAACTTCTTTGTGATGTTTGCATTCAACTCACAGAGTTGTACTTTCCTTTTGATAGAGCAGCTTTGAAACCCTCTCTTTCTAGCATCTGCAAGGGGACATTTGGAGGGCTTCGAGGCCTGGGGTGGAAAAGGAAATATCTGCTCATAAAAGCTACATGGAAGCATTCTCAGAAACTGCTTTGTGATGATTGCATTCAAGTCACAGAGTTGAACATTCCCTTTGATAGAGCCGTTTGGAAACACACTTTTGGTAGAATCTGAAAGGGGAGATTTGGACCGCTTTGAGGCCTATGGCAGCAGAGGATATAACTGCCCATAAAAACTAGACAGTAGCATTCCCAGGAAACACTTTGTGACGTTTGAGTTCAACTCACAGAGCTCAACATTCCTTTGGATGGAGCAGTTTCAAAACACACTTTCTGTAGAATCTGCAAGTGGATATTTGGACCTCTCTGAGGATTTCGTTGGATACGGGAGAAAACTCACCTATTTAAACAGAAGCATTCTCAGAACCTTCTTCGTGATGCTTGCATTCAACTCACAGTGTTGAACCTTTCTCTGATAGTTCAGGTTTGAAACACTCCTTCTGCAGAATCTGCAAGTGGAGATTTGGACCTCTTTGAGGCCTATCGTCGTAAAGGAAATAACTTCATCCTAAAACAAGACAGAAGCATTCTCAGAAAATTCTTTGTGATGATTGAGTTTAACTCACAGAGCTGAGCATATCTTTTGATGGAGCACTTTCAAAACACACTTTGTGTAGAATATGCAAGTGGATATTTGTACTTCTCTGAGAATTTCGTTGGAAACGGGATAAAACTCACATAACTGAAGAGAAACATTCCCAGAACTTCTTTGTGATGTTGGCATTCAACTGACAGAGTTGAACCTTCCCTTGTGAGTTCAGGTTGAAACGCCCTTTTCGTAGTATCTGCAAGTGGAGATTTGGAACGCTTTGAGGCCTACGGTAGTAAAGGAAACAGCTTCATGTAAAAACTGGACAGAAGCATTCTCAGAAAATACTTTGTGATGATTGAGTTTAGCTCACAGAGCTGAACATGCCTTTGGGTGCAGCAGTTTGGAAACACACTTTTTGCAGAATCTGCAGGTGGATATTTGGACCTCTCTGAGGATTTCGTTGGAAACGGGATAACGTCACCTAACTAAACAGAAGCTTTCGCAGAAACATCTTTCTGACGTTTGCATTCAAAGTCCAGAGTTGAACCTTCCTTTGATAGTTCACGTTTGAAACACTCTTGTTGGAGGACCTGCAAGTGGATATTTGGAGCACTTTGTGGCCTTCGTTCGAAACGGGTATATCTTCACATAAAATCTAGACAGAAGCCTTCTCAGAAACTTCTCTGTGATGACTGCATTCAACTCACAGAGTTGAACATTCCTTTTGATAGAGCAGTTTTGAAACTCTCTTTTTCTAGCATCTGCAAATGGATAGGTGGAAGTCTGTGAAGATTTCTTTGGAAACGGGAATATCTTCACGTAAAAGGTAAACAGAAGCATTCTCAGAAAGTCCTTTGTGAGGCTTGTGTTCAACTCCCAGAGTATAACATTGCTTTTCATAGAGCAGTTTTGAAACATTCTTTTCGTAGAGTCTCCAAGTGGACATTTGGAGCGCTTTCAGGCCTGTGGTGGAAAAGGAAATATCTTCACATAAAAACTAGAGAGAAGCATTGTCAGAAACTTCTTTGTGATGATTGCATTCAACTCACGGAGTTGAAGATTCCTTTTGATACAGCAGGTTGGAAACACTCTTTCGGTGGAATCTGCAAGCGGATATGTGGACCTCTTTGAACATTTCGATGGAAAAGGGATAATCTTCCCATGAAAGCTAAACGGAAGCATGCTCAGGAGCTTCTTTGTGATGTTTGCATTCAACTCACAGAGTTGTACTTTCCTTTTGATAGAGCAGCTTTGAAACCCTCTCTTTCTAGCATCTGCAAGGGGACATTTGGAGGGCTTCGAGGCCTGGGGTGGAAAAGGAAATATCTGCTCATTAAAGCTACATGCAAGCATTCTCAGAAACTGCTTTGTGATGATTGCATTCAAGTCACAGAGTTGAACATTCCCTTTGATAGAGCCGTTTGGAAACACACTTTTGGTAGAATCTGAAAGGGGAGATTTGGACCGCTTTGAGGCCTATGGCAGCAGAGGATATAACTGCCCATAAAAACTAGACAGTAGCATTCCCAGGAAACACTTTGTGACGATTGAGTTCAACTCACAGAGCTGAACATTCCTTTGGATGGAGCAGTTTCAAAACACACTTTCTGTAGAATCTGCAAGTGGATATTTGGACCTCTCTGAGGATTTCGTTGGATACGGGAGAAAACTCACCTATCTAAACAGAAGCATTCTCAGAACCTTCTTCGTGATGCTTGCATTCAACTCACAGTGTTGAACCTTTCTCTGATAGTTCAGGTTTGAAACACTCCTTCTGCAGAATCTGCAAGTGGAGATTTGGACCTCTTTGAGGCCTATCGTCGTAAAGGAAATAACTTCATCCTAAAACAAGACAGAAGCATTCTCAGAAAATTCTTTGTGATGATTGAGTTTAACTCACAGAGCTGAGCATATCTTTTGATGGAGCACTTTCAAAACACACTTTTTGTAGAATATGCAAGTGGATATTTGTACTTCTCTGAGAATTTCGTTGGAAACGGGATAAAACTCACATAACTGAAGAGAAACACTCCCAGAACTTCTTTGTGATGTTGGCATTCAACTGACAGAGTTGAACCTTCCCTTGAGAGTTCAGGTTGAAACGCCCTTTTCGTAGTATCTGCAAGTGGAGATTTGGAACGCTTTGAGGCCTACGGTAGTAAACGAAACAGCTTCATGTAAAAACTGGACAGAAGCATTCTCAGAAAATACTTTGTGATGATTGAGTTTAACTCACAGAGCTGAACATGCCTTTGGGTGGAGCAGTTTGGAAACACACTTTTTGCAGAATCTGCAGGTGGATATTTGGACCTCTCTGAGGATTTCGTTGGAAACGGGATAACGTCACCTAACTAAACAGAAGCTTTCGCAGAAACATCTTTCTGACGTTTGCATTCAAAGTCCAGAGTTGAACCTTCCTTTGATAGTTCACGTTTGAAACACTCTTGTTGGAGGACCTGCAAGTGGATATTTGGAGCACTTTGTGGCCTTCGTTCGAAACGGGTATATCTTCACATAAAATCTAGACAGAAGCCTTCTCAGAAACTTCTCTGTGATGACTGCATTCAACTCACAGAGTTGAACATTCCTTTTGATAGAGCAGTTTTGAAACTCTCTTTTTCTAGCATCTGCAAATGGATAGGTGGAAGTCTGTGAAGATTTCTTTGGAAACGGGAATATCTTCACGTAAAAAGTAAACAGAAGCATTCTCAGAAAGTCCTTTGTGAGGCTTGTGTTCAACTCCCAGAGTATAACATTGCTTTTCATAGAGCAGTTTTGAAACATTCTTTTCGTAGAGTCTCCAAGTGGACATTTGGAGCGCTTTCAGGCCTGTGGTGGAAAAGGAAATATCTTCACATAAAAACTAGAGAGAAGCATTGTCAGAAACTTCTTTGTGATGATTGCATTCAACTCACGGAGTTGAAGATTCCTTTTGATACAGCAGTTTGGAAACACTCTTTCGGTGGAATCTGCAAGCGGATATGTGGACCTCTTTGAACATTTCGATGGAAAAGGGATAATCTTCCCATGAAAGCTAAACGGAAGCATGCTCAGGAGCTTCTTTGTGATGTTTGCATTCAACTCACAGAGTTGTACTTTCCTTTTGATAGAGCAGCTTTGAAACCCTCTCTTTCTAGCATCTGCAAGGGGACATTTGGAGGGCTTCGAGGCCTGGGGTGGAAAAGGAAATATCTGCTCATTAAAGCTACATGGAAGCATTCTCAGAAACTGCTTTGTGATGATTGCATGCAACTCACAGAGTTGAACATTCCCTTTGATAGAGCCGTTTGGAAACACACTTTTGGTAGAATCTGAAAGGGGAGATTTGGACCGCTTTGAGGCCTATGGCAGCAGAGGATATAACTGCCCATAAAAACTAGACAGTAGCATTCCCAGGAAACACTTTGTGACGATTGAGTTCAACTCACAGAGCTGAACATTCCTTTGGATGGAGCAGTTTCAAAACACACTTTCTGTAGAATCTGCAAGTGGATATTTGGACCTCTCTGAGGATTTCGTTGGATACGGGAGAAAACTCACCTATCTAAACAGAGGCATTCTCAGAACCTTCTTCGTAATGCTTGCATTCAACTCACAGTGTTGAACCTTTCTCTGATAGTTCAGGTTTGAAACACTCCTTCTGCAGAATCTGCAAGTGGAGATTTGGACCTCTTTGAGGCCTATCGTCGTAAAGGAAATAACTTCATCCTAAAACAAGACAGAAGCATTCTCAGAAAATTCTTTGTGATGATTGAGTTTAACTCACAGAGCTGAGCATATCTTTTGATGGAGCACTTTCAAAACACACTTTTTGTAGAATATGCAAGTGGATATTTGTACTTCTCTGAGAATTTCGTTGGAAACGGGATAAAACTCACATAACTGAAGAGAAACATTCCCAGAACTTCTTTGTGATGTTGGCATTCAACTGACAGAGTTGAACCTTCCCTTGTGAGTTCAGGTTGAAACGCTCTTTTCGTAGTATCTGCAAGTGGAGATTTGGAACGCTTTGAGGCCTACGGTAGTAAAGGAAACAGCTTCATGTAAAAACTGGACAGAAGCATTCTCAGAAAATACTTTGTGATGATTGAGTTTAACTCACAGAGCTGAACATGCCTTTGGGTGGAGCAGTTTGGAAACACACTTTTTGCAGAATCTGCAGGTGGATATTTGGACCTCTCTGAGGATTTCGTTGGAAACGGGTAACGTCACCTAACTAAACAGAAGCTTTCGCAGAAACATCTTTCTGACGTTTGCATTCAAAGTCCAGAGTTGAACCTTCCTTTGATAGTTCACGTTTGAAACACTCTTGTTGGAGGACCTGAAAGTGGATATTTGGAGCACTTTGTGGCCTTTGTTCGAAACGGGTATATCTTCACATAAAATCTAGACAGAAGCCTTCTCAGAAACTTCTCTGTGATGACTGCATTCAACTCACAGAGTTGAACATTCCTTTTGATAGAGCAGTTTTGAAACTCTCTTTTTCTAGCATCTGCAAATGGATAGGTGGAAGCCTGTGAAGATTTCTTTGGAAACGGGAATATCTTCACGTAAAAAGTAAACAGAAGCATTCTCAGAAACTCCTTTGTGAGGCTTGTGTTCAACTCCCAGAGTATAACATTGCTTTTCATAGAGCAGTTTTGAAACATTCTTTTCGTAGAGTCTCCAAGTGGACATTTGGAGCGCTTTCAGGCCTGTGGTGGAAAAGGAAATATCTTCACATAAAAACTAGAGAGAAGCATTGTCAGAAACTTCTTTGTGATGATTGCATTCAACTCACGGAGTTGAAGATTCCTTTTGATACAGCAGTTTGGAAACACTCTTTCGGTGGAATCTGCAAGCGGATATGTGGACCTCTTTGAACATTTCGATGGAAAAGGGATAATCTTCCCATGAAAGCTAAACGGAAGCATGCTCAGGAGCTTCTTTGTGATGTTTGCATTCAACTCACAGAGTTGTACTTTCCTTTTGATAGAGCAGCTTTGAAACCCTCTCTTTCTAGCATCTGCAAGGGGACATTTGGAGGGCTTCGAGGCCTGGGGTGGAAAAGGAAATATCTTCTCCTAAAAGCTACATGGAAGCATTCTCAGAAACTGCTTTGTGATGATTGCATTCAAGTCACAGAGTTGAACATTCCCTTTGATAGAGCCGTTTGGAAACACACTTTTGGTAGAATCTGAAAGGGGAGATTTGGACCGCTTTGAGGCCTATGGCAGCAGAGGATATAACTGCCCATAAAAACTAGACAGTAGCATTCCCAGGAAACACTTTGTGACGATTGAGTTCAACTCACAGAGCTGAACATTCCTTTGGATGGAGCAGTTTCAAAACACACTTTCTGTAGAATCTGCAAGTGGATATTTGGACCTCTCTGAGGATTTCGTTGGATACGGGAGAAAACTCACCTATCTAAACAGAAGCATTCTCAGAACCTTCTTCGTGATGCTTGCATTCAACTCACAGTGTTGAACCTTTCTCTGATAGTTCAGGTTTGAAACACTCCTTCTGCAGAATCTGCAAGTGGAGATTTGGACCTCTTTGAGGCCTATCGTCGTAAAGGAAATAACTTCATCCTAAAACAACACAGAAGCATTCTCAGAAAATTCTTTGTGATGATTGAGTTTAACTCACAGAGCTGAGCATATCTTTTGATGGAGCACT
This sequence comes from Homo sapiens, assembly GCF_000001405.40. Taxonomy (NCBI): domain Eukaryota; kingdom Metazoa; phylum Chordata; class Mammalia; order Primates; family Hominidae; genus Homo; species Homo sapiens. The sequence continues at coordinate 122,259,917 of NC_000001.11, forward strand.
TTCAAAACACACTTTTTGTAGAATATGCAAGTGGATATTTGTACTTCTCTGAGAATTTCGTTGGAAACGGGATAAAACTCACATAACTGAAGAGAAACATTCCCAGAACTTCTTTGTGATGTTGGCATTCAACTCTCAGAGTTGAACCTTCCCTTGTGAGTTCAGGTTGAAACGCCCTTTTCGTAGTATCTGCAAGTGGAGATTTGGAACGCTTTGAGGCCTACGGTAGTAAAGGAAACAGCTTCATGTAAAAACTGGACAGAAGCATTCTCAGAAAATACTTTGTGATGATTGAGTTTAACTCACAGAGCTGAACATGCCTTTGGGTGGAGCAGTTTGGAAACACACTTTTTGCAGAATCTGCAGGTGGATATTTGGACCTCTCTGAGGATTTCGTTGGAAACGGGATAACGTCACCTAACTAAACAGAAGCTTTCGCAGAAACATCTTTCTGACGTTTGCATTCAAAGTCCAGAGTTGAACCTTCCTTTGATAGTTCACGTTTGAAACACTCTTGTTGGAGGACCTGCAAGTGGATATTTGGAGCACTTTGTGGCCTTTGTTCGAAACGGGTATATCTTCACATAAAATCTAGACAGAAGCCTTCTCAGAAACTTCTCTGTGATGACTGCATTCAACTCACAGAGTTGAACATTCCTTTTGATAGAGCAGTTTTGAAACTCTCTTTTTCTAGCATCTGCAAATGGATAGGTGGAAGTCTGTGAAGATTTCTTTGGAAACGGGAATATCTTCACGTAAAAAGTAAACAGAAGCATTCTCAGAAACTCCTTTGTGAGGCTTGTGTTCAACTCCCAGAGTATAACATTGCTTTTCATAGAGCAGTTTTGAAAGATTCTTTTCGTAGAGTCTCCAAGTGGACATTTGGAGCGCTTTCAGGCCTGTGGTGGAAAAGGAAATATCTTCACATAAAAACTAGAGAGAAGCGTTGTCAGAAACTTCTTTGTGATGATTGCATTCAACTCACGGAGTTGAAGATTCCTTTCGATACAGCAGTTTGGAAACAGTCTTTCGGTGGAATCTGCAAGCGGATATGTGGACCTCTTTGAACATTTCGATGGAAAAGGGATAATCTTCCCATAAAAGCTAAACGGAAGCATGCTCAGGAACTTCTTTGTGATGTTTGCATTCAACTCACAGAGTTGTACTTTCCTTTTGATAGAGCAGCTTTGAAACCCTCTCTTTCTAGCATCTGCAAGGGGACACTTGGAGGGCTTCGAGGCCTGGGGTGGAAAAGGAAATATCTGCTCATAGAAGCTACATGGAAGCATTCTCAGAAACTGCTTTGTGATGATTGCATTCAAGTCACAGAGTTGAACATTCCCTTTGATAGAGCCGTTTGGAAACACACTTTTGGTAGAATCTGAAAGGGGAGATTTGGACCGCTTTGAGGCCTATGGCAGCAGAGGATATAACTGCCCATAAAAACTAGACAGTAGCATTCCCAGGAAACACTTTGTGACGATTGAGTTCAACTCACAGAGCTGAACATTCCTTTGGATGGAGCAGTTTCAAAACACACTTTCTGTAGAATCTGCAAGTGGATATTTGGACCTCTCTGAGGATTTCGTTGGATACGGGAGAAAACTCACCTATCTAAACAGAAGCATTCTCAGAACCTTCTTCGTGATGCTTGCTTTCAACTCACAGTGTTGAACCTTTCTCTGATAGTTCAGGTTTGAAACACTCCTTCTGCAGAATCTGCAAGTGGAGATTTGGACCTCTTTGAGGCCTATCGTCGTAAAGGAAATAACTTCATCCTAAAACAAGACAGAAGCATTCTCAGAAAATTCTTTGTGATGATTGAGTTTAACTCACAGAGCTGAGCATATCTTTTGATGGAGCACTTTCAAAACACACTTTTTGTAGAATATGCAAGTGGATATTTGTACTTCTCTGAGAATTTCGTTGGAAACGGGATAAAACTCACATAACTGAAGAGAAACATTCCCAGAACTTCTTTGTGATGTTGGCATTCAACTGACAGAGTTGAACCTTCCCTTGTGAGTTCAGGTTGAAACGCTCTTTTCGTAGTATCTGCAAGTGGAGATTTGGAACGCTTTGAGGCCTACGGTAGTAAAGGAAACAGCTTCATGTAAAAACTGGACAGAAGCATTCTCAGAAAATACTTTGTGATGATTGAGTTTAACTCACAGAGCTGAACATGCCTTTGGGTGCAGCAGTTTTGAAACACACTTTTTGCAGAATCTGCAGGTGGATATTTGGACCTCTCTGAGGATTTCGTTGGATACGGGAGAAAACTCACCTATCTAAACAGAAGCATTCTCAGAACCTTCTTCGTGATGCTTGCATTCAACTCACAGTGTTGAACCTTTCTCTGATAGTTCAGGTTTGAAACACTCCTACTGCAGAATCTGCAACTGGAGATTTGGACCTCTTTGAGGCCTATCGTCGTAAAGGAAATAACTTCATCCTAAAACAAGACAGAAGCATTCTCAGAAAATTCTTTGTGATGATTGAGTTTAACTCACAGAGCTGAGCATATCTTTTGATGGAGCACTTTCAAAACACACTTTTTGTAGAATATGCAAGTGGATATTTGTACTTCTCTGAGAATTTCGTTGGAAACGGGATAAAACTCACATAACTGAAGAGAAACACTCCCAGAACTTCTTTGTGATGTTGGCATTCAACTGACAGAGTTGAACCTTCCCTTGAGAGTTCAGGTTGAAACGCCCTTTTCGTAGTATCTGCAAGTTGAGATTTGGAACGCTTTGAGGCCTACGGTAGTAAAGGAAACAGCTTCATGTAAAAACTGGACAGAAGCATTCTCAGAAAATACTTTGTGATGATTGAGTTTAACTCACAGAGCTGAACATGCCTTTGGGTGGAGCAGTTTGGAAACACACTTTTTGCAGAATCTGCAGGTGGATATTTGGACCTCTCTGAGGATTTCGTTGGAAACGGGATAACGTCACCTAACTAAACAGAAGCTTTCGCAGAAACATCTTTCTGACGTTTGCATTCAAAGTCCAGAGTTGAACCTTCCTTTGATAGTTCACGTTTGAAACACTCTTGTTGGAGGACCTGCAAGTGGATATTTGGAGCACTTTGTGGCCTTTGTTCGAAACGGGTATATCTTCACATAAAATCTAGACAGAAGCCTTCTCAGAAACTTCTCTGTGATGACTGCATTCAACTCACAGAGTTGAACATTCCTTTTGATAGAGCAGTTTTGAAACTCTCTTTTTCAAGCATCTGCAAATGGATAGGTGGAAGTCTGTGAAGATTTCTTTGGAAACGGGAATATCTTCACGTAAAAAGTAAACAGAAGCATTCTCAGAAACTCCTTTGTGAGGCTTGTGTTCAACTCCCAGAGTATAACATTGCTTTTCATAGAGCAGTTTTGAAACATTCTTTTCGTAGAGTCTCCAAGTGGACATTTGGAGCGCTTTCAGGCCTGTGGTGGAAAAGGAAATATCTTCACATAAAAACTAGAGAGAAGCGTTGTCAGAAACTTCTTTGTGATGATTGCATTCAACTCACGGAGTTGAAGATTCCTTTTGATACAGCAGTTTGGAAACACTCTTTCGGTGGAATCTGCAAGCGGATATGTGGACCTCTTTGAACATTTCGATGGAAAAGGGATAATCTTCCCATAAAAGCTAAACGGAAGCATGCTCAGGAACTTCTTTGTGATGTTTGCATTCAACTCACAGAGTTGTACTTTCCTTTTGATAGAGCAGCTTTGAAACCCTCTCTTTCTAGCATCTGCAAGGGGACATTTGGAGGGCTTCGAGGCCTGGGGTGGAAAAGGAAATATCTGCTCATAAAAGCTACATGGAAGCATTCTCAGAAACTGCTTTGTGATGATTGCATTCAAGTCACAGAGTTGAACATTCCCTTTGATAGAGCCGTTTGGAAACACACTTTTGGTAGAATCTGAAAGGGGAGATTTGGACCGCTTTGAGGCCTATGGCAGCAGAGGATATAACTGCCCATAAAAACTAGACAGTAGCATTCCCAGGAAACACTTTGTGACGATTGAGTTCAACTCACAGAGCTGAACATTCCTTTGGATGGAGCAGTTTCAAAACACACTTTCTGTAGAATCTGCAAGTGGATATTTGGACCTCTCTGAGGATTTCGTTGGATACGGGAGAAAACTCACCTATCTAAACAGAAGCATTCTCAGAACCTTCTTCGTGATGCTTGCATTCAACTCACAGTGTTGAACCTTTGTCTGATAGTTCAGGTTTGAAACACTCCTTCTGCAGAATCTGCAAGTGGAGATTTGGACCTCTTTGAGGCCTATCGTCGTAAAGGAAATAACTTCATCCTAAAACAAGACAGAAGCATTCTCAGAAAATTCTTTGTGATGATTGAGTTTAACTCACAGAGCTGAGCATATCTTTTGATGGAGCACTTTCAAAACACACTTTTTGTAGAATATGCAAGTGGATATTTGTACTTCTCTGAGAATTTCGTTGGAAACGGGATAAAACTCACATAACTGAAGAGAAACATTCCCAGAACTTCTTTGTGATGTTGGCATTCAACTGACAGAGTTGAACCTTCCCTTGTGAGTTCAGGTTGAAACGCCCTTTTCGTAGTATCTGCAAGTGGAGATTTGGAACGCTTTGAGGCCTACGGTAGTAAAGGAAACAGCTTCATGTAAAAACTGGACAGAAGCATTCTCAGAAAATACTTTGTGATGATTGAGTTTAACTCACAGAGCTGAACATGCCTTTGGGTGGAGCAGTTTGGAAACACACTTTTTGCAGAATCTGCAGGTGGATATTTGGACCTCTCTGAGGATTTCTTTGGAAACGGGATAAAGTCTCCTAACTAAACAGAAGCTTTCGCAGAAACATCTTTCTGACGTTTGCATTCAAAGTCCAGAGTTGAACCTTCCTTTGATAGTTCACGTTTGAAACACTCTTGTTGGAGGACCTGCAAGTGGATATTTGGAGCACTTTGTGGCCTTTGTTCGAAACGGGTATATCTTCACATAAAATCTAGACAGAAGCCTTCTCAGAAACTTCTCTGTGATGACTGCATTCAACTCACAGAGTTGAACATTCCTTTTGATAGAGCAGTTTTGAAACTCTCTTTTTCAAGCATCTGCAAATGGATAGGTGGAAGTCTGTGAAGATTTCTTTGGAAACGGGAATATCTTCACGTAAAAAGTAAACAGAAGCATTCTCAGAAACTCCTTTGTGAGGCTTGTGTTCAACTCCCAGAGTATAACATTGCTTTTCATAGAGCAGTTTTGAAACATTCTTTTCGTAGAGTCTCCAAGTGGACATTTGGAGCGCTTTCAGGCCTGTGGTGGAAAAGGAAATATCTTCACATAAAAACTAGAGAGAAGCGTTGTCAGAAACTTCTTTGTGATGATTGCATTCAACTCACGGAGTTGAAGATTCCTTTTGATACAGCAGTTTGGAAACACTCTTTCGGTGGAATCTGCAAGCGGATATGTGTACCTCTTTGAACATTTCGATGGAAAAGGGATAATCTTCCCATAAAAGCTAAACGGAAGCATGCTCAGGAGCTTCTTTGTGATGTTTGCATTCAACTCACAGAGTTGTACTTTCCTTTTGATAGAGCAGCTTTGAAACCCTCTCTTTCTAGCATCTGCAAGGGGACATTTGGAGGGCTTCGAGGCCTGGGGTGGAAAAGGAAATATCTGCTCATTAAAGCTACATGGAAGCATTCTCAGAAACTGCTTTGTGATGATTGCATTCAAGTCACAGAGTTGAACATTCCCTTTGATAGAGCCGTTTGGAAACACACTTTTGGTAGAATCTGAAAGGGGAGATTTGGACCGCTTTGAGGCCTATGGCAGCAGAGGATATAACTGCCCATAAAAACTAGACAGTAGCATTCCCAGGAAACAGTTTGTGACGATTGAGTTCAACTCACAGAGCTGAACATTCCTTTGGATGGAGCAGTTTCAAAACACACTTTCTGTAGAATCTGCAAGTGGATATTTGGACCTCTCTGAGGATTTCGTTGGATACGGGAGAAAACTCACCTATCTAAACAGAAGCATTCTCAGAACCTTCTTCGTGATGCTTGCATTCAACTCACAGTGTTGAACCTTTCTCTGATAGTTCAGGTTTGAAACACTCCTTCTGCAGAATCTGCAAGTGGAGATTTGGACCTCTTTGAGGCCTATCGTCGTAAAGGAAATAACTTCATCCTAAAACAAGACAGAAGCATTCTCAGAAAATTCTTTGTGATGATTGAGTTTAACTCACAGAGCTGAGCATATCTTTTGATGGAGCACTTTCAAAACACACTTTGTGTAGAATATGCAAGTGGATATTTGTACTTCTCTGAGAATTTCGTTGGAAACGGGATAAAACTCACATAACTGAAGAGAAACATTCCCAGAACTTCTTTGTGATGTTGGCATTCAACTGACAGAGTTGAACCTTCCCTTGTGAGTTCAGGTTGAAACGCCCTTTTCGTAGTATCTGCAAGTGGAGATTTGGAACGCTTTGAGGCCTACGGTAGTAAAGGAAACAGCTTCATGTAAAAACTGGACAGAAGCATTCTCAGAAAATACTTTGTGATGATTGAGTTTAACTCACAGAGCTGAACATGCCTTTGGGTGGAGCAGTTTGGAAACACACTTTTTGCAGAATCTGCAGGTGGATATTTGGACCTCTCTGAGGATTTCGTTGGAAACGGGATAACGTCACCTAACTAAACAGAAGCTTTCGCAGAAACATCTTTCTGACGTTTGCATTCAAAGTCCAGAGTTGAACCTTCCTTTGATAGTTCACGTTTGAAACACTCTTGTTGGAGGACCTGCAAGTGGATATTTGGAGCACTTTGTGGCCTTTGTTCGAAACGGGTATATCTTCACATAAAATCTAGACAGAAGCCTTCTCAGAAACTTCTCTGTGATGACTGCATTCAACTCACAGAGTTGAACATTCCTTTTGATAGAGCAGTTTTGAAACTCTCTTTTTCTAGCATCTGCAAATGGATAGGTGGAACTCTGTGAAGATTTCTTTGGAAACGGGAATATCTTCACGTAAAAAGTAAACAGAAGCATTCTGAGAAACTCCTTTGTGAGGCTTATGTTCATCTCCCAGAGTATAACATTGCTTTTCATAGAGCAGTTTTGAAACATTCTTTTCGTAGAGTCTCCAAGTGGACATTTGGAGCGCTTTCACACCTGTGGTGGAAAAGGAAATATCTTCACATAAAAACTAGAGAGAAGCATTGTCAGAAACTTCTTTGTGATGATTGCATTCAACTCAGGGAGTTGAATATTCCTTTTGATACAGCAGTTTGGAAACACTCTTTCGGTGGAATCTGCAAGCGGATATGTGGACCTCTTTGAACATTGCGATGGAAAACGGATAATTTTCCCATAAAAGCTAAACGAAAGCATTCTCAGGAACTTCTTTGTGATGTTTGCATTCAACTCACAGAGTTGTACTTTCCTTTTGATAGAGCAGCTTTGAAACCCTCTCTTTCTAGCATCTGCAAGGGGACATTTGGAGGGCTTCGAGGCCTGGGGTGGAAAAGGAAATATCTGCTCATAAAAGCTACATGGAAGCATTCTCAGAAACTGCTTTGTGATGATTGCATTCAAGTCACAGAGTTGAACATTCCCTTTGATAGAGCCGTTTGGAAACACACTTTTGGTAGAATCTGAAAGGGGAGATTTGGACCGCTTTGAGGCCTATGGCAGCAGAGGATATAACTGCCCATAAAAACTAGACAGTAGCATTCCCAGGAAACACTTTGTGACGATTGAGTTCAACTCACAGAGCTGAACATTCCTTTGGATGGAGCAGTTTCAAAACACACTTTCTGTAGAATCTGCAAGTGGATATTTGGACCTCTCTGAGGATTTCGTTGGATACGGGAGAAAACTCACCTATCTAAACAGAAGCATTCTCAGAACCTTCTTCGTGATGCTTGCATTCAACTCACAGTGTTGAACCTTTCTCTGATAGTTCAGGTTTGAAACACTCCTTCTGCAGAATCTGCAAGTGGAGATTTGGACCTCTTTGAGGCCTATCGTCGTAAAGGAAATAACTTCATCCTAAAACAAGACAGAAGCATTCTCAGAAAATTCTTTGTGATGATTGAGTTTAACTCACAGAGCTGAGCATATCTTTTGATGGAGCACTTTCAAAACACACTTTTTGTAGAATATGCAAGTGGATATTTGTACTTCTCTGAGAATTTCGTTGGAAACGGGATAAAACTCACATAACTGAAGAGAAACATTCCCAGAACTTCTTTGTGATGTTGGCATTCAACTGACAGAGTTGAACCTTCCCTTGTGAGTTCAGGTTGAAACGCCCTTTTCGTAGTATCTGCAAGTGGAGATTTGGAACGCTTTGAGGCCTACGGTAGTAAAGGAAACAGCTTCATGTAAAAACTGGACAGAAGCATTCTCAGAAAATACTTTGTGATGATTGAGTTTAACTCACAGAGCTGAACATGCCTTTGGGTGGAGCAGTTTGGAAACACACTTTTTGCAGAATCTGCAGGTGGATATTTGGACGTCTCTGAGGATTTCGTTGGAAACGGGATAACGTCACCTAACTAAACAGAAGCTTTCGCAGAAACATCTTTCTGACGTTTGCATTCAAAGTCCAGAGTTGAACCTTCCTTTGATAGTTCACGTTTGAAACACTCTTGTTGGAGGACCTGCAAGTGGATATTTGGAGCACTTTGTGGCCTTCGTTCGAAACGGGTATATCTTCACATAAAATCTAGACAGAAGCCTTCTCAGAAACTTCTCTGTGATGACTGCATTCAACTCACAGAGTTGAACATTCCTTTTGATAGAGCAGTTTTGAAACTCTCTTTTTCTAGCATCTGCAAATGGATAGGTGGAAGTCTGTGAAGATTTCTTTGGAAACGGGAATATCTTCACGTAAAAAGTAAACAGAAGCATTCTCAGAAACTCCTTTGTGAGGCTTGTGTTCAACTCCCAGAGTATAACATTGCTTTTCATAGAGCAGTTTTGAAACATTCTTTTCGTAGAGTCTCCAAGTGGACATTTGGAGCGCTTTCAGGCCTGTGGTGGAAAAGGAAATATCTTCACATAAAAACTAGAGAGAAGCATTGTCAGAAACTTCTTTGTGATGATTGCATTCAACTCACGGAGTTGAAGATTCCTTTTGATACAGCAGTTTGGAGACACTCTTTCGGTGGAATCTGCAAGGGGATATGTGGACCTCTTTGAACATTTCGATGGAAAAGGGATAATCTTCCCATGAAAGCTAAACGGAAGCATGCTCAGGAACTTCTTTGTGATGTTTGCATTGAACTCACAGAGTTGTACTTTAATTTGATAGAGCAGCTTTGAAACCCTCTCTTTCTAGCATCTGCAAGGGGACATTTGGAGGGCTTCGAGGCCTGGGGTGGAAAAGGAAATATCTGCTCATAAAAGCTACATGGAAGCATTCTCAGAAACTGCTTTGTGATGATTGCATTCAAGTCACAGAGTTGAACATTTCCTTTGATAGAGCCGTTTGGAAACACACTTTTGGCAGAATCTGAAAGGGGAGATTTGGACCGCTTTGAGGCCTATGGCAGCAGAGGATATAACTGCACATAAAAACTAGACAGTAGCATCCCCAGGAAACACTTTGTGACGATTGAGTTCAACTCACAGAGCTGAACATTCCTTTGGATGAAGCAGTTTCAAAACACACTTTCTGTAGAATCTGCAAGTGGATATTTGGACCTCTCTGAGGATTTCGTTGGATACGGGAGAAAACTCACCTATCTAAACAGAAGCATTCTCAGAACCTTCTTCGTGATGCTTGCATTCAACACACAGTGTTGAACCATTCTCTGATAGTTCAGGTTTGAAACACTCCTTCTGCAGAATCTGCAAGTGGAGATTTGGACCTCTTTGAGGCCTATCGTCGTAAAGGAAATAACTTCATCCTAAAACAAGACAGAAGCATACTCAGAAAATTCTTTGTGATGATTGAGTTTAACTCACAGAGCTGAGCATATCTTTTGATGGAGCATTTTCAAAACACACTTTTTGTAGAATATGCAAGTGGATATTTGTACTTCTCTGAGAATTTCGTTGGAAACGGGATAAAACTCACATAACTGAAGAGTAACATTCCCAGAACTTTTTGTGATGTTGGCATTCAACTGACAGAGTTGAACCTTCCCTTGTGAGTTCAGGTTGAAACGCTCTTTTCGTAGTATCTTCAAGTGGAGATTTGGAACGCTTTGAGGCCTACGGTAGTAAAGGAAACAGCTTCATGTAAAAACTGGACAGAAGCATTCTCAGAAAATACTTTGTGATGATTGAGTTTAACTCACAGAGCTGAACATTCCTTTGGGTGGAGCAGTTTGGAAACACACTTTTTGCAGAATCTGCAGGTGGATATTTGGACCTCTCTGAGGATTTCGTTGGAAACGGGATAACGTCACCTAACTATACAGAAGCTTTCGCAGAAACATCTTTCTGACGTTTGCATTCAAAGTCCAGAGTTGAACCTTCCTTTGATAGTTCACGTTTGAAACACTCTTGTTGGAGGACCTGCAAGTGGATATTTGGAGCACTTTGTGGCCTTTGTTCGAAACGGGTATATCTTCACATAAAATCTAGACAGAAGCCTTCTCAGAAACTTCTCTGCGATGATTGCATTCAACTCACAGATTTGAACATTCCTTTTGATAGAGCAGTTTTGAAACTCTCTTTTTCTAGCATCTGCAAATGGATAGGTGGAACTCTGTGAAGATTTCTTTGGAAACGGGAATATCTTCACGTAAAAAGTAAACAGAAGCATTCTCAGAAACTCCTTTGTGAGGCTTGTGTTCAACTCCCAGAGAATAACATTGCTTTTCATAGAGCAGTTTTGAAACATTCTTGTCGTAGAGTCCCCAAGTGGACATTAGGAGCGCTTTCTGGCCTGTGGTGGAAAAGGAAATATCTTCACATAAAAACTAGAGAGAAGCATTGTCAGAAACTTCTTTGTGATGATTGCATTCAACTCACGGAGTTGAAGATTCCTTTTGATACAGCAGTTTGGAAACACTCTTTCAGTGGAATCTGCAAGCGGATATGCGGACCTCTTTGAACATTTCGATGGAAAAGGGATAATCTTCCCATGAAAGCTAAACGGAAGCATGCTCAGGAACTTCTTTGTGATGTTTGCATTCAACTCACAGAGTTGTACTTTACTTTTGATAGAGCAGCTTTGAAACCCTCTCTTTCTAGCATCTGCAAGGGGATATTTGGAGGGCTTCGAGGCCTGGGGTGGAAAAGGAAATATCTGCTCATAAAAGCTACATGGAAGCATTCTCAGAAACTGCTTTGTGATGATTGCATTCAAGTCACAGAGTTGAACATTCCCTTTGATACAGCCGTTTGGAAACACACTTTTGGTAGGATCTGAAAGGGGAGATTTGAACCGCTTTGAGGACTATGGCAGCAGAGGATATAACTGCACATAAAAACTAGACAGTAGCATTCCCAGGAAACACTTTGTGACGATTGAGTTCAACTCACAGAGCTGAACATTCCTTTGGATGGAGGAGTTTCAAAACACACTTTCTGTAGAATCTGCAAGTGGATATTTGGACCTCTCTGAGGATTTCGTTGGATACGGGAGAAAACTCACCTATCTAAACAGAAGCATTCTCAGAACCTTCTTCGTGATGCTTGCATTCAACTCACAGTGTTGAACCTTTCTCTGATAGTTCAGGTTTGAAACACTCCTTCTGCAGAATCTGCAAGTGGAGATTTGGACCTCTTTGAGGCCTATCGTCGTAAAGGAAATAACTTCATCCTAAAACAAGACAGAAGCATTCTCAGAAAATTCTTTGTGATGATTGAGTTTACCTCACAGAGCTGAGCATATCTTTTGATGGAGCACTTTCAAAACACACTTTTTGTAGAATATGCAAGTGGATATTTGTACTTCTCTGAGAATTTCGTTGGAAACGGGATAAAACTCACATAACTGAAGAGAAACATTCCCAGAACTTCTTTGTGATGTTGGCATTCAACTGACAGAGTTGAACCTTCCCTTGTGAGTTCAGGTTGAAACGCCCTTTTCGTAGTATCTGCAAGTGGAGATTTGGAACGCTTTGAGGCCTACGGTAGTAAAGGAAACAGCTTCATGTAAAAACTGGACAGAAGCATTCTCAGAAAATACTTTGTGATGATTGAGTTTAACTCACAGAGCTGAACATGCCTTTGGGTGGAGCAGTTTGGAAACACACTTTTTGCAGAATCTGCAGGTGGATATTTGGACCTCTCTGAGGATTTCGTTGGAAACGGGATAACGTCACCTAACTAAACAGAAGCTTTCGCAGAAACATCTTTCTGACGTTTGCATTCAAAGTCCAGAGTTGAACCTTCCTTTGATAGTTCACGTTTGAAACACTCTTGTTGGAGGACCTGCAAGTGGATATTTGGAGCACTTTGTGGCCTTCGTTCGAAACGGGTATATCTTCACATAAAATCTAGACAGAAGCCTTCTCAGAAACTTCTCTGTGATGACTGCATTCAACTCACAGAGTTGAACATTCCTTTTGATAGAGCAGTTTTGAAACTCTCTTTTTCTAGCATCTGCAAATGGATAGGTGGAAGTCTGTGAAGATTTGCTTTGGAAACGGGAATATCTTCACGTAAAAAGTAAACAGAAGCATTCTCAGAAACTCCTTTGTGAGGCTTGTGTTCAACTCCCAGAGTATAACATTGCTTTTCATAGAGCAGTTTTGAAACATTCTTTTCGTAGAGTCTCCAAGTGGACATTTGGAGCGCTTTCAGGCCTGTGGTGGAAAAGGAAATATCTTCATATAAAAACTAGAGAGAAGCATTGTCAGAAACTTCTTTGTGATGATTGCATTCAACTCACGGAGTTGAAGATTCCTTTTGATACAGCAGTTTGGAAACACTCTTTCGGTGGAATCTGCAAGCGGATATGTGGACCTCTTTGAACATTTCGATGGAAAAGGGATAATCTTCCCATGAAAGCTAAACGGAAGCATGCTCAGGAGCTTCTTTGTGATGTTTGCATTCAACTCACAGAGTTGTACTTTCCTTTTGATAGAGCAGCTTTGAAACCCTCTCTTTCTAGCATCTGCAAGGGGACATTTGGAGGGCTTCGAGGCCTGGGGTGGAAAAGGAAATATCTTCTCCTAAAAGCTACATGGAAGCATTCTCAGAAACTGCTTTGTGATGATTGCATGCAAGTCACAGAGTTGAACATTCCCTTTGATAGAGCCGTTTGGAAACACACTTTTGGTAGAATCTGAAAGGGGAGATTTGGACCGCTTTGAGGCCTATGGCAGCAGAGGATATAACTGCCCATAAAAACTAGACAGTAGCATTCCCAGGAAACACTTTGTGACGATTGAGTTCAACTCACAGAGCTGAACATTCCTTTGGATGGAGCAGTTTCAAAACACACTTTCTGTAGAATCTGCAAGTGGATATTTGGACCTCTCTGAGGATTTCGTTGGATACGGGAGAAAACTCACCTATCTAAACAGAAGCATTCTCAGAACCTTCTTCGTGATGCTTGCATTCAACTCACAGTGTTGAACCTTTCTCTGATAGTTCAGGTTTGAAACACTCCTTCTGCAGAATCTGCAAGTGGAGATTTGGACCTCTTTGAGGCCTATCGTCGTAAAGGAAATAACTTCATCCTAAAACAAGACAGAAGCATTCTCAGAAAATTCTTTGTGATGATTGAGTTTAACTCACAGAGCTGAGCATATCTTTTGATGGAGCACTTTCAAAACACACTTTGTGTAGAATATGCAAGTGGATATTTGTACTTCTCTGAGAATTTCGTTGGAAACGGGATAAAACTCACATAACTGAAGAGAAACCTTCCCAGAACTTCTTTGTGATGTTGGCATTCAACTGACAGAGTTGAACCTTCCCTTGTGAGTTCAGGTTGAAACGCCCTTTTCGTAGTATCTGCAAGTGGAGATTTGGAACGCTTTGAGGCCTACGGTAGTAAAGGAAACAGCTTCATGTAAAAACTGGACAGAAGCATTCTCAGAAAATACTTTGTGATGATTGAGTTTAACTCACAGAGCTGAACATGCCTTTGGGTGGAGCAGTTTGGAAACACACTTTTTGCAGAATCTGCAGGTGGATATTTGGACCTCTCTGAGGATTTCGTTGGAAACGGGATAACGTCACCTAACTAAACAGAAGCTTTCGCAGAAACATCTTTCTGACGTTTGCATTCAAAGTCCAGAGTTGAACCTTCCTTTGATAGTTCACGTTTGAAACACTCTTGTTGGAGGACCTGCAAGTGGATATTTGGAGCACTTTGTGGCCTTCGTTCGAAACGGGTATATCTTCACATAAAATCTAGACAGAAGCCTTCTCAGAAACTTCTCTGTGATGACTGCATTCAACTCACAGAGTTGAACATTCCTTTTGATAGAGCAGTTTTGAAACTCTCTTTTTCTAGCATCTGCAAATGGATAGGTGGAAGTCTGTGAAGATTTCTTTGGAAACGGGAATATCTTCACGTAAAAAGTAAACAGAAGCATTCTCAGAAAGTCCTTTGTGAGGCTTGTGTTCAACTCCCAGAGTATAACATTGCTTTTCATAGAGCAGTTTTGAAACATTCTTTTCGTAGAGTCTCCAAGTGGACATTTGGAGCGCTTTCAGGCCTGTGGTGGAAAAGGAAATATCTTCACATAAAAACTAGAGAGAAGCATTGTCAGAAACTTCTTTGTGATGATTGCATTCAACTCACGGAGTTGAAGATTCCTTTTGATACAGCAGTTTGGAAACACTCTTTCGGTGGAATCTGCAAGCGGATATGTGGACCTCTTTGAACATTTCGATGGAAAAGGGATAATCTTCCCATGAAAGCTAAACGGAAGCATGCTCAGGAACTTCTTTGTGATGTTTGCATTCAACTCACAGAATTGTACTTTCCTTTTGATAGAGCAGCTTTGAAACCCTCTCTTTCTAGCATCTGCAAGGGGACATTTGGAGGGCTTCGAGGCCTGGGGTGGAAAAGGAAATATCTGCTCATTAAAGCTACATGGAAGCATTCTCAGAAACTGCTTTGTGATGATTGCATTCAAGTCACAGAGTTGAACATTCCCTTTGATAGAGCCGTTTGGAAACACACTTTTGGTAGAATCTGAAAGGGGAGATTTGGACCGCTTTGAGGCCTATGGCAGCAGAGGATATAACTGCCCATAAAAACTAGACAGTAGCATTCCCAGGAAACACTTTGTGACGATTGAGTTCAACTCACAGAGCTGAACATTCCTTTGGATGGAGCAGTTTCAAAACACACTTTCTGTAGAATCTGCAAGTGGATATTTGGACCTCTCTGAGGATTTCGTTGGATACGGGAGAAAACTCACCTATCTAAACAGAAGCATTCTCAGAACCTTCTTCGTGATGCTTGCATTCAACTCACAGTGTTGAACCTTTCTCTGATAGTTCAGGTTTGAAACACTCCTTCTGCAGAATCTGCAAGTGGAGATTTGGACCTCTTTGAGGCCTATCGTCGTAAAGGAAATAACTTCATCCTAAAACAAGACAGAAGCATTCTCAGAAAATTCTTTGTGATGATTGAGTTTAACTCACAGAGCTGAGCATATCTTTTGATGGAGCACTTTCAAAACACACTTTGTGTAGAATATGCAAGTGGATATTTGTACTTCTCTGAGAATTTCGTTGGAAACGGGATAAAACTCACATAACTGAAGAGAAACATTCCCAGAACTTCTTTGTGATGTTGGCATTCAACTGACAGAGTTGAACCTTCCCTTGTGAGTTCAGGTTGAAACGCCCTTTTCGTAGTATCTGCAAGTGGAGATTTGGAACGCTTTGAGGCCTACGTTAGTAAAGGAAACAGCTTCATGTAAAAACTGGACAGAAGCATTCTCAGAAAATACTTTGTGATGATTGAGTTTAACTCACAGAGCTGAACATGCCTTTGGGTGGAGCAGTTTGGAAACACACTTTTTGCAGAATCTGCAGGTGGATATTTGGACCTCTCTGAGGATTTCCTTGGAAACGGGATAACGTCACCTAACTAAACAGAAGCTTTCGCAGAAACATCTTTCTGACGTTTGCATTCAAAGTCCAGAGTTGAACCTTCCTTTGATAGTTCACGTTTGAAACACTCTTGTTGGAGGACCTGCAAGTGGATATTTGGAGCACTTTGTGGCCTTCGTTCGAAACGGGTATATCTTCACATAAAATCTAGACAGAAGCCTTCTCAGAAACTTCTCTGTGATGACTGCATTCAACTCACAGAGTTGAACATTCCTTTTGATAGAGCAGTTTTGAAACTCTCTTTTTCTAGCATCTGCAAATGGATAGGTGGAAGTCTGTGAAGATTTCTTTGGAAACGGGAATATCTTCACGTAAAAAGTAAACAGAAGCATTCTCAGAAACTCCTTTGTGAGGCTTGTGTTCAACTCCCAGAGTATAACATTGCTTTTCATAGAGCAGTTTTGAAACATTCTTTTCGTAGAGTCTCCAAGTGGACATTTGGAGCGCTTTCAGGCCTGTGGTGGAAAAGGAAATATCTTCACATAAAAACTAGAGAGAAGCATTGTCAGAAACTTCTTTGTGATGATTGCATTCAACTCACGGAGTTGAAGATTCCTTTTGATACAGCAGTTTGGAAACACTCTTTCGGTGGAATCTGCAAGCGGATATGTGGACCTCTTTGAACATTTCGATGGAAAAGGGATAATCTTCCCATGAAAGCTAAACGGAAGCATGCTCAGGAACTTCTTTGTGATGTTTGCATTCAACTCACAGAGTTGTACTTTCCTTTTGATAGAGCAGCTTTGAAACCCTCTCTTTCTAGCATCTGCAAGGGGACATTTGGAGGGCTTCGAGGCCTGGGGTGGAAAAGGAAATATCTGCTCATTAAAGCTACATGGAAGCATTCTCAGAAACTGCTTTGTGATGATTGCATTCAAGTCACAGAGTTGAACATTCCCTTTGATAGAGCCGTTTGGAAACACACTTTTGGTAGAATCTGAAAGGGGAGATTTGGACTGCTTTGAGGCCTATGGCAGCAGAGGATATAACTGCCCATAAAAACTAGACAGTAGCATTCCCAGGAAACACTTTGTGACGATTGAGTTCAACTCACAGAGCTGAACATTCCTTTGGATGGAGCAGTTTCAAAACACACTTTCTGTGGAATCTGCAAGTGGATATTTGGACCTCTCTGAGGATTTCGTTGGATACGGGAGAAAACTCACCTATCTAAACAGAAGCATTCTCAGAACCTTCTTCGTGATGCTTGCATTCAACTCACAGTGTTGAACCTTTCTCTGATAGTTCAGGTTTGAAACACTCCTTCTGCAGAATCTGCAAGTGGAGATTTGGACCTCTTTGAGGCCTATCGTCGTAAAGGAAATAACTTCATCCTAAAACAAGACAGAAGCATTCTCAGAAAATTCTTTGTGATGATTGAGTTTACCTCACAGAGCTGAGCATATCTTTTGATGGAGCACTTTCAAAACACACTTTTTGTAGAATATGCAAGTGGATATTTGTACTTCTCTGAGAATTTCGTTGGAAACGGGATAAAACTCACATAACTGAAGAGAAACATTCCCAGAACTTCTTTGTGATGTTGGCATTCAACTGACAGAGTTGAACCTTCCCTTGTGAGTTGAGGTTGAAACGCTCTTTTCGTAGTATCTGCAAGTGGAGATTTGGAACGCTTTGAGGCCTACGGTAGTAAAGGAAACAGCTTCATGTAAAAACTGGACAGAAGCATTCTCAGAAAATACTTTGTGATGATTGAGTTTAACTCACAGAGCTGAACATGCCTTTGGGTGGAGCAGTTTGGAAACACACTTTTTGCAGAATCTGCAGGTGGATATTTGGACCTCTCTGAGGATTTCGTTGGAAACGGGATAACGTCACCTAACTAAACAGAAGCTTTCGCAGAAACATCTTTCTGACGTTTGCATTCAAAGTCCAGAGTTGAACCTTCCTTTGATAGTTCACGTTTGAAACACTCTTGTTGGAGGACCTGCAAGTGGATATTTGGAGCACTTTGTGGCCTTCGTTCGGAACGGGTATATCTTCACATAAAATCTAGACAGAAGCCTTCTCAGAAACTTCTCTGTGATGACTGCATTCAACTCACAGAGTTGAACATTCCTTTTGATAGAGCAGTTTTGAAACTCCCTTTTTCTAGCATCTGCAAATGGATAGGTGGAAGCCTGTGAAGATTTCTTTGGAAACTGGAATATCTTCACGTAAAAAGTAAACAGAAGCATTCTGAGAAACTCCTTTGTGAGGCTTGTGTTCAACTCCCAGAGTATAACATTGCTTTTGATAGAGCAGTTTTGAAAGATTCTTTTCGTAGAGTCTCCAAGTGGACATTTGGAGCGCTTTCAGGCCTGTGGTGGAAAAGGAAATATCTTCACATAAAAACTAGAGAGAAGCGTTGTCAGAAACTTCTTTGTGATGATTGCATTCAACTCACGGAGTTGAAGATTCCTTTTGATACAGCAGTTTGGAAACACTCATTCGGTGGAATCTGCAAGCGGATATGTGGACCTCTTTGAACATTTCGATGGAAAACGGATAATCTTCCCATAAAAGCTAAACGGAAACATTCTCAGAAACTTCTTTGTGATGTTTGCATTCAACTCACAGAGTTGTACTTTCCTTTAGATAGAGCCGCTTTGAAACCCTCTCTTTCTAGAACCTGCAAGTGGACATTTGGAGGGCTTCGCGGCCTGTGGTGGAAAAGGAAATATCTTCCCATAAAAGCTAGATGGAAGCATTCTCAGAAACTGCTTTGTGATGATTGCATTCAAGTCACAGAGTTGAACATTCCCTTTGATAGAGCCGTTTGGAAACACACTTTTGGTAGAATCTGAAAGGGGAGATTTGGACCGCTTTGAGGCCTATGGCAGCATAGGATATAACTGCCCATAAAAACTAGACAGTAGCATTCTCAGGAAACACTTTGTGACGATTGAGTTCAACTCACAGAGCTGAACATTCCTTTGGATGGAGCAGTTTCAAAACACACTTTCTGTAGAATCTGCAAGTGGATATTTGGACCTCTCTGAGGATTTCGTTGGATACGGGAGAAAACTCACCTATCTAAACAGAAGCATTCTCAGAACCTTCTTCGTGATGCTTGCATTCAACTCACAGTGTTGAACCTTTCTCTGATAGTTCAGGTTTGAAACACTCCTTCTGCAGAATCTGCAAGTGGAGATTTGGACCTCTTTGAGGCCTATCGTCGTAAAGGAAATAACTTCATCCTAAAACAAGACAGAAGCATTCTCAGAAAATTCTTTGTGATGATTGAGTTTAACTCACAGAGCTGAGCATATCTTTTGATGGAGCACTTTCAAAACACACTTTTTGTAGAATATGCAAGTGGATATTTGTACTTCTCTGAGAATTTCGTTGGAAACGGGATAAAACTCACATAACTGAAGAGAAACATTCCCAGAACTTCTTTGTGATGTTGGCATTCAACTCTCAGAGTTGAACCTTCCCTTGTGAGTTCAGGTTGAAACGCTCTTTTCGTAGTATCTGCAAGTGGAGATTTGGAACGCTTTGAGGCCTACGGTAGTAAAGGAAACAGCTTCATGTAAAAACTGGACAGAAGCATTCTCAGAAAATACTTTGTGATGATTGAGTTTAACTCACAGAGCTGAACATGCCTTTGGGTGGAGCAGTTTGGAAACACACTTTTTGCAGAATCTGCAGGTGGATATTTGGACCTCTCTGAGGATTTCGTTGGAAACGGGATAACGTCACCTAACTAAACAGAAGCTTTCGCAGAAACATCTTTCTGACGTTTGCATTCAAAGTCCAGAGTTGAACCTTCCTTTGATAGTTCACGTTTGAAACACTCTTGTTGGAGGACCTGCAAGTGGATATTTGGAGCACTTTGTGGCCTTTGTTCGAAACGGGTATATCTTCACATAAAATCTAGACAGAAGCCTTCTCAGAAACTTCTCTGTGATGACTGCATTCAACTCACAGAGTTGAACATTCCTTTTGATAGAGCAGTTTTGAAACTCTCTTTTTCTAGCATCTGCAAATGGATAGGTGGAAGTCTGTGAAGATTTCTTTGGAAACGGGAATATCTTCACGTAAAAAGTAAACAGAAGCATTCTCAGAAACTCCTTTGTGAGGCTTGTGTTCAACTCCCAGAGTATAACATTGCTTTTCATAGAGCAGTTTTGAAACATTCTTTTCGTAGAGTCTCCAAGTGGACATTTGGAGTGCTTTCAGGCCTGTGGTGGAAAAGGAAATATCTTCACATAAAAACTAGAGAGAAGCATTGTCAGAAACTTCTTTGTGATGATTGCATTCAACTCACGGCAGTTGAAGATTCCTTTTGATACAGCAGTTTGGAAACACTCTTTCGGTGGAATCTGCAAGCGGATATGTGGAACCCTTTGAACATTTCGATGGAAAAGGGATAATCTTCCCATAAAAGCTAAACGGAAGCATGCTCAGGAGCTTCTTTGTGATGTTTGCATTCAACTCACAGAGTTGTACTTTCCTTTTGATAGAGCAGCTTTGAAACCCTCTCTTTCTAGCATCTGCAAGGGGACATTTGGAGGGCTTCGAGGCCTGGGGTGGAAAAGGAAATATCTTCTCCTAAAAGCTACATGGAAGCATTCTCAGAAACTGCTTTGTGATGATTGCATTCAAGTCACAGAGTTGAACATTCCCTTTGATAGAGCCGTTTGGAAACACACTTTTGGTAGAATCTGAAAGGGGAGATTTGGACCGCTTTGAGGCCTATGGCAGCAGAGGATATAACTGCCCATAAAAACTAGACAGTAGCATTCCCAGGAAACACTTTGTGACGATTGAGTTCAACTCACAGAGCTGAACATTCCTTTGGATGGAGCAGTTTCAAAACACACTTTCTGTAGAATCTGCAAGTGGATATTTGGACCTCTCTGAGGATTTCGTTGGATACGGGAGAAAACTCACCTATCTAAACAGAAGCATTCTCAGAACCTTCTTCGTGATGCTTGCATTCAACTCACAGTGTTGAACCTTTCTCTGATAGTTCAGGTTTGAAACACTCCTTCTGCAGAATCTGCAAGTGGAGATTTGGACCTCTTTGAGGCCTATCGTCGTAAAGGAAATAACTTCATCCTAAAACAAGACAGAAGCATTCTCAGAAAATTCTTTGTGATGATTGAGTTTAACTCACAGAGCTGAGCATATCTTTTGATGGAGCACTTTCAAAACACACTTTGTGTAGAATATGCAAGTGGATATTTGTACTTCTCTGAGAATTTCGTTGGAAACGGGATAAAACTCACATAACTGAAGAGAAACATTCCCAGAACTTCTTTGTGATGTTGGCATTCAACTGACAGAGTTGAACCTTCCCTTGTGAGTTCAGGTTGAAACGCCCTTTTCGTAGTATCTGCAAGTGGAGATTTGGAACGCTTTGAGGCCTACGGTAGTAAAGGAAACAGCTTCATGTAAAAACTGGACAGAAGCATTCTCAGAAAATACTTTGTGATGATTGAGTTTAACTCACAGAGCTGAACATGCCTTTGGGTGGAGCAGTTTGGAAACACACTTTTTGCAGAATCTGCAGGTGGATATTTGGACCTCTCTGAGGATTTCCTTGGAAACGGGATAACGTCACCTAACTAAACAGAAGCTTTCGCAGAAACATCTTTCTGACGTTTGCATTCAAAGTCCAGAGTTGAACCTTCCTTTGATAGTTCACGTTTGAAACACTCTTGTTGGAGGACCTGCAAGTGGATATTTGGAGCACTTTGTGGCCTTCGTTCGAAACGGGTATATCTTCACATAAAATCTAGACAGAAGCCTTCTCAGAAACTTCTCTGTGATGACTGCATTCAACTCACAGAGTTGAACATTCCTTTTGATAGAGCAGTTTTGAAACTCTCTTTTTCTAGCATCTGCAAATGGATAGGTGGAAGTCTGTGAAGATTTCTTTGGAAACGGGAATATCTTCACGTAAAAAGTAAACAGAAGCATTCTCAGAAACTCCTTTGTGAGGCTTGTGTTCAACTCCCAGAGTATAACATTGCTTTTCATAGAGCAGTTTTGAAACATTCTTTTCGTAGAGTCTCCAAGTGGACATTTGGAGCGCTTTCAGGCCTGTGGTGGAAAAGGAAATATCTTCACATAAAAACTAGAGAGAAGCGTTGTCAGAAACTTCTTTGTGATGATTGCATTCAACTCACGGAGTTGAAGATTCCTTTTGATACAGCAGTTTGGAAACACTCTTTCGGTGGAATCTGCAAGCGGATATGTGGACCTCTTTGAACATTTCGATGGAAAAGGGATAATCTTCCCATAAAAGCTAAACGGAAGCATGCTCAGGAACTTCTTTGTGATGTTTGCATTCAACTCACAGAGTTGTACTTTCCTTTTGATAGAGCAGCTTTGAAACCCTCTCTTTCTAGCATCTGCAATGGGACATTTGGAGGGCTTCGAGGCCTGGGGTGGAAAAGGAAATATCTGCTCATAAAAGCTACATGGAAGCATTCTCAGAAACTGCTTTGTGATGATTGCATTCAAGTCACAGAGTTGAACATTCCCTTTGATAGAGCCGTTTGGAAACACACTTTTGGTAGAATCTGAAAGGGGAGATTTCGACCGCTTTGAGGCCTATGGCAGCAGAGGATATAACTGCACATAAAAACTAGACAGTAGCATTCCCAGGAAATACTTTGTGACGATTGAGTTCAACTCACAGAGCTGAACATTCCTTTGGATGGAGCAGTTTCAAAACACACTTTCTGTAGAATCTGCAAGTGGATATTTGGACCTCTCTGAGGATTTCGTTGGATACGGGAGAAAACTCACTTATCTAAACAGAAGCATTCTCAGAACCTTCTTCGTGATGCTTGCATTCAACTCACAGTGTTGAACCTTTCTCTGATAGTTCAGGTTTGAAACACTCCTTCTGCAGAATCTGCAAGTGGAGATTTGGACCTCTTTGAGGCCTATCGTCGTAAAGGAAATAACTTCATCCTAAAACAAGACAGAAGCATTCTCAGAAAATTTTTGTGATGATTGAGTTTAACTCACAGAGCTGAGCATATCTTTTGATGGAGCACTTTCAAAACACACTTTTTGTAGAATATGCAAGTGGATATTTGTACTTCTCTGAGAATTTCGTTGGAAACGGGATAAAACTCACATAACTGAAGAGAAACATTCCCAGAATTTCTTTGTGATGTTGGCATTGAACTGAAAGAGTTGAACCTTCCCTTGTGAGTTCAGGTTGAAACGCTCTTTTCGTAGTATCTGCAAGTGGAGATTTGGAACGCTTTGAGGCCTACGGTAGTAAAGGAAACAGCTTCATGTAAAAACTGGACAGAAGCATTCTCAGAAAATACTTTGTGATGATTGAGTTTAACTCACAGAGCTGAACATGCCTTTGGGTGGAGCAGTTTGGAAACACACTTTTTGCAGAATCTGCAGGTGGATATTTGGACCTCTCTGAGGATTTCGTTGGAAACGGGATAACGTCACCTAATTAAACAGAAGCTTTCGCAGAAACATCTTTCTGACGTTTGCATTCAAAGTCCAGAGTTGAACCTTTCTTTGATAGTTCACGTTTGAAACACTCTTGTTGGAGGACCTGCAAGTGGATATTTGGAGCACTTTGTGGCCTTTGTTCGAAACGGGTATATCTTCACATAAAATCTAGACAGAAGCCTTCTCAGAAACTTCTCTGTGATGACTGCATTCAACTCACAGAGTTGAACATTCCTTTTGATAGAGCAGTTTTGAAACTCCCTTTTTCTAGCATCTGCAAATGGATAGGTGGAAGCCTGTGAAGATTTCTTTGGAAACTGGAATATCTTCACGTAAAAAGTAAACAGAAGCATTCTGAGAAACTCCTTTGTGAGGCTTGTGTTCAACTCCCAGAGTATAACATTGCTTTTCATAGAGCAGTTTTGAAACATTCTTTTCGTAGAGTCTCCAAGTGGACATTTGGAGCGCTTTCAGGCCTGTGGTGGAAAAGGAAATATCTTCACATAAAAACTAGAGAGAAGCGTTGTCAGAAACTTCTTTGTGATGATTGCATTCAACTCACGGAGTTGAAGATTCCTTTTGATACAGCAGTTTGGAAACATTCTTTCGGTGGAATCTGCAAGCGGATATGTGGACCTCTTTGAACATTTCGATGGAAAAGGGATAATCTTCCCATAAAAGCTAAACGGAAGCATGCTCAGGAACTTCTTTGTGATGTTTGCATTCATCTCACAGAGTTGTACTTTCCTTTTGATAGAGCAGCTTTGAAACCCTCTCTTTCTAGCATCTGCAAGGGGACATTTGGAGGGCTTCGAGGCCTGGGGTGGAAAAGGAAATATCTGCTCCTAAAAGCTACATGGAAGCATTCTCAGAAACTGCTTTGTGATGATTGCATTCAAGTCACAGAGTTGAACATTCCCTTTGATAGAGCCGTTTGGAAACACACTTTTGGTAGAATCTGAAAGGGGAGATTTGGACCGCTTTGAGGCCTATGGCAGCAGAGGATATAACTGCCCATAAAAACTAGACAGTAGCATTCCCAGGAAACACTTTGTGACGATTGAGTTCAACTCACAGAGCTGAACATTCCTTTGGATGGAGCAGTTTCAAAACACACTTTCTGTAGAATCTGCAAGTGGATATTTGGACCTCTCTGAGGATTTCGTTGGATACGGGAGAAAACTCACCTATCTAAACAGAAGCATTCTCAGAACCTTCTTCGTGATGCTTGCATTCAACTCACAGTGTTGAACCTTTCTCTGATAGTTCAGGTTTGAAACACTCCTTCTGCAGAATCTGCAAGTGGAGATTTGGACCTCTTTGAGGCCTATCGTCGTAAAGGAAATAACTTCATCCTAAAACAAGACAGAAGCATTCTCAGAAAATTCTTTGTGATGATTGAGTTTAACTCACAGAGCTGAGCATATCTTTTGATGGAGCATTTTCAAAACACACTTTTTGTAGAATATGCAAGTGGATATTTGTACTTCTCTGAGAATTTCGTTGGAAACGGGATAAAACTCACGTAACTGAAGAGAAACATTCCCAGAACTTCTTTGTGATGTTGGCATTCAACTCTCAGAGTTGAACCTTCCCTTGTGAGTTCAGGTTGAAACGCCCTTTTCGTAGTATCTGCAAGTGGAGATTTGGAACGCTTTGAGGCCTACGGTAGTAAAGGAAACAGCTTCATGTAAAAACTGGACAGAAGCATTCTCAGAAAATACTTTGTGATGATTGAGTTTAACTCACAGAGCTGAACATGCCTTTGGGTGGAGCAGTTTGGAAACACACTTTTTGCAGAATCTGCAGGTGGATATTTGGACCTCTCTGAGGATTTCGTTGGAAACGGGATAACGTCACCTAACTAAACAGAAGCTTTCGCAGAAACATCTTTCTGACGTTTGCATTCAAAGTCCAGAGTTGAACCTTCCTTTGATAGTTCACGTTTGAAACACTCTTGTTGGAGGACCTGCAAGTGGATATTTGGAGCACTTTGTGGCCTTTGTTCGGAACGGGTATATCTTCACATAAAATCTAGACAGAAGCCTTCTCAGAAACTTCTCTGTGATGACTGCATTCAACTCACAGAGTTGAACATTCCTTTTGATAGAGCAGTTTTGAAACTCTCTTTTTCTAGCATCTGCAAATGCATAGGTGGAAGTCTGTGAAGATTTCTTTGGAAACGGGAATATCTTCACGTAAAAAGTAAACAGAAGCATTCTCAGAAACTCCTTTGTGAGGCTTGTGTTCAACTCCCAGAGTATAACATTGCTTTTCATAGAGCAGTTTTGAAACATTCTTTTCGTAGAGTCTCCAAGTGGACATTTGGAGCGCTTTCAGGCCTGTGGTGGAAAAGGAAATATCTTCACATAAAAACTAGAGAGAAGCATTGTAAGAAACTTCTTTGTGATGATTGCATTCAACTCACGGAGTTGAAGATTCCTTTTGATACAGCAGTTTGGAAACACTCTTTCGGTGGAATCCGCAAGCGGATATGTGGACCTCTTTGAACATTTCGATGGAAAAGGGATAATCTTCCCATAAAAGCTAAACGGAAGCATGCTCAGGAGCTTCTTTGTGATGTTTGCATTCAACTCACAGAGTTGTACTTTCCTTTTGATAGAGCAGCTTTGAAACCCTCTCTTTCTAGCATCTGCCAGGGGACATTTGGAGGGCTTCGAGGCCTGGGGTGGAAAAGGAAATATCTGCTCATAAAAGCTACATGGAAGCATTCTCAGAAACTGCTTTGTGATGATTGCATTCAAGTCACAGAGCTGAACATTCCCTTTGATAGAGCCGTTTGGAAACACACTTTTGGTAGAATCTGAAAGGGGAGATTTGGACCGCTTTGAGGCCTATGGCAGCAGAGGATATAACTGTCCATAAAAACTAGACAGTAGCATTCCCAGGAAACACTTTGTGACGATTGAGTTCAACTCACTGAGCTGAACATTCCTTTGGATGGAGCAGTTTCAAAACACACTTTCGGTAGAATCTGCAAGTGGATATTTGGACCTCTCTGAGGATTTCGTTGGATAAGGGAGAAAACTCACCTATCTAAACAGAGGCATTCTCAGAACCTTCTTCGTGATGCTTGCATTCAACTCACAGTGTTGAACCTTTCTCTGATAGTTCAGGTTTGAAACACTCCTTCTGCAGAATCTGCAAGTGGAGATTTGGACCTCTTTGAGGCCTATCGTCGTAAAGGAAATAACTTCATCCTAAAACAAGACAGAAGCATTCTCAGAAAATTCTTTGTGATGATTGAGTTTAACTCACAGAGCTGAGCATATCTTTTGATGGAGCACTTTCAAAACACACTTTTTGTAGAATATGCAAGTGGATATTTGTACTTCTCTGAGAATTTCGTTGGAAACGGGATAAAACTCACATAACTGAAGAGAAACATTCCCAGAACTTCTTTGTGATGTTGGCATTCAACTGACAGAGTTGAACCTTCCCTCGTGAGTTCAGGTTGAAACGCTCTTTTCGTAGTATCTGCAAGTGGAGATTTGGAACGCTTTGAGGCCTACGGTAGTAAAGGAAACAGCTTCATGTAAAAACTGGACAGAAGCATTCTCAGAAAATACTTTGTGATGATTGAGTTTAACTCACAGAGCTGAACATGCCTTTGGGTGGAGCAGTTTGGAAACACACTTTTTGCAGAATCTGCAGGTGGATATTTGGACCTCTCTGAGGATTTCGTTGGAAACGGGATAACGTCACCTAACTAAACAGAAGCTTTCGCAGAAACATCTTTCTGACGTTTGCATTCAAAGTCCAGAGTTGAACCTTCCTTTGATAGTTCACGTTTGAAACACTCTTGTTGGAGGACCTGCAAGTGGATATTTGGAGCACTTTGTGGCCTTCGTTCGAAACGGGTATATCTTCACATAAAATCTAGACAGAAGCCTTCTCAGAAACTTCTCTGTGATGACTGCATTCAACTCACAGAGTTGAACATTCCTTTTGATAGAGCAGTTTTGAAACTCTCTTTTTCTAGCATCTGCAAATGGATAGGTGGAAGTCTGTGAAGATTTCTTTGGAAACGGGAATATCTTCACGTAAAAAGTAAACAGAAGCATTCTCAGAAACTCCTTTGTGAGGCTTGTGTTCAACTCCCAGAGTATAACATTGCTTTTCATAGAGCAGTTTTGAAACATTCTTTTCGTAGAGTCTCCAAGTGGACATTTGGAGCGCTTTCAGGCCTGTGGTGGAAAAGGAAATATCTTCACATAAAAACTAGAGAGAAGCGTTGTCAGAGACTTCTTTGTGATGATTGCATTCAACTCACGGAGTTGAAGATTCCTTTTGATACAGCAGTTTGGAAACACTCTTTCGGTGGAATCTGCAAGCGGATATGTGGACCTCTTTGAACATTTCGATGGAAAAGGGATAATCTTCCCATAAGAGCTAAACGGAAGCATGCTCAGGAACTTCTTTGTGATGTTTGCATTCAACTCACAGAGTTGTACTTTCCTTTTGATAGAGCAGCTTTGAAACCCTCTCTTTCTAGCATCTGCAAGGGGACATTTGGAGGGCTTCGAGGCCTGGGGTGGAAAAGGAAATATCTGCTCCTAAAAGCTACATGGAAGCATTCTCAGAAACTGCTTTGTGATGATTGCATTCAAGTCACAGAGTTGAACATTCCCTTTGATAGAGCCGTTTGGAAACACACTTTTGGTAGAATCTGAAAGGGGAGATTTGGACCGCTTTGAGGCCTATGGCAGCAGAGGATATAACTGCCCATAAAAACTAGACAGTAGCATTCCCAGGAAACACTTTGTGACGATTGAGTTCAACTCACAGAGCTGAACATTCCTTTGGATGGAGCAGTTTCAAAACACACTTTCTGTAGAATCTGCAAGTGGATATTTGGACCTCTCTGAGGATTTCGTTGGATACGGGAGAAAACTCACCTATCTAAACAGAAGCATTCTCAGAACCTTCTTCGTGATGCTTGCATTCAACTCACAGTGTTGAACCTTTCTCTGATAGTTCAGGTTTGAAACACTCCTTCTGCAGAATCTGCAAGTGGAGATTTGGACCTCTTTGAGGCCTATCGTCGTAAAGGAAATAACTTCATCCTAAAACAAGACAGAAGCATTCTCAGAAAATTCTTTGTGATGATTGAGTTTAACTCACAGAGCTGAGCATATCTTTTGATGGAGCACTTTCAAAACACACTTTTTGTAGAATATGCAAGTGGATATTTGTACTTCTCTGAGAATTTCGTTGGAAACGGGATAAAACTCACATAACTGAAGAGAAACATTCCCAGAACTTCTTTGTGATGTTGGCATTCAACTGACAGAGTTGAACCTTCCCTCGTGAGTTCAGGTTGAAACGCCCTTTTCGTAGTATCTGCAAGTGGAGATTTGGAACGCTTTGAGGCCTACGGTAGTAAAGGAAACAGCTTCATGTAAAAACTGGACAGAAGCATTCTCAGAAAATACTTTGTGATGATTGAGTTTAACTCACAGAGCTGAACATGCCTTTGGGTGGAGCAGTTTGGAAACACACTTTTTGCAGAATCTGCAGGTGGATATTTGGACCTCTCTGAGGATTTCGTTGGAAACGGGATAACGTCACCTAACTAAACAGAAGCTTTCGCAGAAACATCTTTCTGACGTTTGCATTCAAAGTCCAGAGTTGAACCTTCCTTTGATAGTTCACGTTTGAAACACTCTTGTTGGAGGACCTGCAAGTGGATATTTGGAGCACTTTGTGGCCTTCGTTCGAAACGGGTATATCTTCACATAAAATCTAGACAGAAGCCTTCTCAGAAACTTCTCTGTGATGACTGCATTCAACTCACAGAGTTGAACATTCCTTTTGATAGAGCAGTTTTGAAACTCTCTTTTTCAAGCATCTGCAAATGGATAGGTGGAAGTCTGTGAAGATTTCTTTGGAAACGGGAATATCTTCACGTAAAAAGTAAACAGAAGCATTCTCAGAAACTCCTTTGTGAGGCTTGTGTTCAACTCCCAGAGTATAACATTGCTTTTCATAGAGCAGTTTTGAAACATTCTTTTCGTAGAGTCTCCAAGTGGACATTTGGAGCGCTTTCAGGCCTGTGGTGGAAAAGGAAATATCTTCACATAAAAACTAGAGAGAAGCGTTGTCAGAAACTTCTTTGTGATGATTGCATTCAACTCACGGAGTTGAAGATTCCTTTTGATACAGCAGTTTGGAAACACTCTTTCGGTGGAATCTGCAAGCGGATATGTGGACCTCTTTGAACATTTCGATGGAAAAGGGATAATCTTCCCATAAAAGCTAAACGGAAGCATGCTCAGGAGCTTCTTTGTGATGTTTGCATTCAACTCACAGAGTTGTACTTTCCTTTTGATAGAGCAGCTTTGAAACCCTCTCTTTCTAGCATCTGCAAGGGGACATTTGGAGGGCTTCGAGGCCTGGGGTGGAAAAGGAAATATCTGCTCATTAAAGCTACATGGAAGCATTCTCAGAAACTGCTTTGTGATGATTGCATTCAAGTCACAGAGTTGAACATTCCCTTTGATAGAGCCGTTTGGAAACACACTTTTGGTAGAATCTGAAAGGGGAGATTTGGACCGCTTTGAGGCCTATGGCAGCAGAGGATATAACTGCCCATAAAAACTAGACAGTAGCATTCCCAGGAAACACTTTGTGACGATTGAGTTCAACTCACAGAGCTGAACATTCCTTTGGATGGAGCAGTTTCAAAACACACTTTCTGTAGAATCTGCAAGTGGATATTTGGACCTCTCTGAGGATTTCGTTGGATACGGGAGAAAACTCACCTATCTAAACAGAAGCATTCTCAGAACCTTCTTCGTGATGCTTGCATAAAACTCACAGTGTTGAACCTTTCTCTGATAGTTCAGGTTTGAAACACTCCTTCTGCAGAATCTGCAAGTGGAGATTTGGACCTCTTTGAGGCCTATCGTCGTAAAGGAAATAACTTCATCCTAAAACAAGACAGAAGCATTCTCAGAAAATTCTTTGTGATGATTGAGTTTAACTCACAGAGCTGAGCATATCTTTTGATGGAGCACTTTCAAAACACACTTTTTGTAGAATATGCAAGTGGATATTTGTACTTCTCTGAGAATTTCGTTGGAAACGGGATAAAACTCACATAACTGAAGAGAAACATTCCCAGAACTTCTTTGTGATGTTGGCATTCAACTGACAGAGTTGAACCTTCCCTTGTGAGTTCAGGTTGAAACGCTCTTTTCGTAGTATCTGCAAGTGGAGATTTGGAACGCTTTGAGGCCTACGGTAGTAAAGGAAACAGCTTCATGTAAAAACTGGACAGAAGCATTCTCAGAAAATACTTTGTGATGATTGAGTTTAACTCACAGAGCTGAACATGCCTTTGGTTGGAGCAGTTTGGAAACACACTTTTTGCAGAATCTGCAGGTGGATATTTGGACCTCTCTGAGGATTTCGTTGGAAACGGGATAACGTCACCTAACTAAACAGAAGCTTTCGCAGAAACATCTTTCTGACGTTTGCATTCAAAGTCCAGAGTTGAACCTTCCTTTGATAGTTCACGTTTGAAACACTCTTGTTGGAGGACCTGCAAGTGGATATTTGGAGCACTTTGTGGCCTTTGTTCGAAACGGCTATATCTTCACATAAAATCTAGACAGAAGCCTTCTCAGAAACTTCTCTGTGATGACTGCATTCAACTCACAGAGTTGAACATTCCTTTTGATAGAGCAGTTTTGAAACTCTCTTTTTCTAGCATCTGCAAATGGATAGGTGGAAGCCTGTGAAGATTTCTTTGGAAACGGGAATATCTTCACGTAAAAAGTAAACAGAAGCATTCTCAGAAACTCCTTTGTGAGGCTTGTGTTCAACTCCCAGAGTATAACATTGCTTTTCATAGAGCAGTTTTGAAACATTCTTTTCGTAGAGTCTCCAAGTGGACATTTGGAGCGCTTTCAGGCCTGTGGTGGAAAAGGAAATATCTTCACATAAAAACTAGAGAGAAGCATTGTCAGAAACTTCTTTGTGATGATTGCATTCAACTCACGGAGTTGAAGATTCCTTTTGATACAGCAGTTTGGAAACACTCTTTCGGTGGAATCTGCAAGCGGATATGTGGAACCCTTTGAACATTTCGATGGAAAAGGGATAATCTTCCCATAAAAGCTAAACGGAAGCATGCTCTGGAACTTCTTTGTGATGTTTGCATTCAACTCACAGAGTTGTACTTTCCTTTTGATAGAGCAGCTTTGAAACCCTCTCTTTCTAGCATCTGCAAGGGGACATTTGGAGGGCTTCGAGGCCTGGGGTGGAAAAGGAAATATCTGCTCATAAAAGCTACATGGAAGCATTCTCAGAAACTGCTTTGTGATGATTGCATTCAAGTCACAGAGTTGAACATTCCCTTTGATAGAGCCGTTTGGAAACACACTTTTGGTAGAATCTGAAAGGGGAGATTTGGACCGCTTTGAGGCCTATGGCAGCAGAGGATATAACTGCCCATAAAAACTAGACAGTAGCATTCCCAGGAAACACTTTGTGACGATTGAGTTCAACTCACAGAGCTGAACATTCCTTTGGATGGAGCAGTTTCAAAACACACTTTCTGTAGAATCTGCAAGTGGATATTTGGACCTCTCTGAGGATTTCGTTGGATACGGGAGAAAACTCACCTATCTAAACAGAGGCATTCTCAGAACCTTCTTCGTGATGCTTGCATTCAACTCACAGTGCTGAAACTTTCTCTGATAGTTCAGGTTTGAAACACTCCTTCTGCAGAATCTGCAAGTGGAGATTTGGACCTCTTTGAGGCCTATCGTCGTAAAGGAAATAACTTCATCCTAAAACAAGACAGAAGCATTCTCAGAAAATTCTTTGTGATGATTGAGTTTAACTCACAGAGGTGAGCATATCTTTTGATGGAGCACATTCAAAACACACTTTTTGTAGAATATGCAAGTGGATATTTGTACTTCTCTGAGAATTTCGTTGGAAACGGGATAAAACTCACATAACTGAAGAGAAACATTCCCAGAACTTCTTTGTGATGTTGGCATTCAACTGACAGAGTTGAACCTTCCCTCGTGAGTTCAGGTTGAAACGCTCTTTTCGTAGTATCTGCAAGTGGAGATTTGGAACGCTTTGAGGCCTACGGTAGTAAAGGAAACAGCTTCATGTAAAAACTGGACAGAAGCATTCTCAGAAAATACTTTGTGATGATTGAGTTTAACTCACAGAGCTGAACATGCCTTTGGGTGGAGCAGTTTGGAAACACACTTTTTGCAGAATCTGCAGGTGGATATTTGGACCTCTCTGAGGATTTCGTTGGAAACGGGATAACGTCACCTAACTAAACAGAAGCTTTCGCAGAAACATCTTTCTGACGTTTGCATTCAAAGTCCAGAGTTGAACCTTCCTTTGATAGTTCACGTTTGAAACACTCTTGTTGGAGGACCTGCAAGTGGATATTTGGAGCACTTTGTGGCCTTTGTTCGAAACGGGTATATCTTCACATAAAATCTAGACAGAAGCCTTCTCAGAAACTTCTCTGTGATGACTGCATTCAACTCACAGAGTTGAACATTCCTTTTGATAGAGCAGTTTTGAAACTCTCTTTTTCTAGCATCTGCAAATGGACAGGTGGAAGCCTGTGAAGATTTCTTTGGAAACGGGAATATCTTCAAGTAAAAAGTAAACAGAAGCATTCTCAGAAACTCCTTTGTGAGGCTTGTGTTCAACTCCCAGAGTATAACATTGCTTTTCATAGAGCAGTTTTGAAACATTCTTTTCGTAGAGTCTCCAAGTGGACATTTGGAGCGCTTTCAGGCCTGTGGTGGAAAAGGAAATATCTTCACATAAAAACTAGAGAGAAGCGTTGTCAGAAACTTCTTTGTGATGATTGCATTCAACTCACGGAGTTGAAGATTCCTTTTGATACAGCAGTTTGGAAACACTCTTTCGGTGGAATCCGCAAGCGGATATGTGGACCTCTTTGAACATTTCGATGGAAAAGGGATAATCTTCCCATAAAAGCTAAACGGAAGCATGCTCAGGAACTTCTTTGTGATGTTTGCATTCAACTCACAGAGTTGTACTTTCCTTTTGATAGAGCAGCTTTGAAACCCTCTCTTTCTAGCATCTGCCAGGGGACATTTGGAGGGCTTCGAGGCCTGGGGTGGAAAAGGAAATATCTTCTCCTAAAAGCTACATGGAAGCATTCTCAGAAACTGCTTTGTGATGATTGCATTCAAGTCACAGAGTTGAACATTCCCTTTGATAGAGCCGTTTGGAAACACACTTTTGGTAGAATCTGAAAGGGGAGATTTGGACCGCTTTGAGGCCTATGGCAGCAGAGGATATAACTGCCCATAAAAACTAGACAGTAGCATTCCCAGGAAACACTTTGTGACGATTGAGTTCAACTCACAGAGCTCAACATTCCTTTGGATGGAGCAGTTTCAAAACACACTTTCTGTAGAATCTGCAAGTGGATATTTGGACCTCTCTGAGGATTTCGTTGGATACGGGAGAAAACTCACCTATTTAAACAGAAGCATTCTCAGAACCTTCTTCGTGATGCTTGCATTCAACTCACAGTGTTGAACCTTTCTCTGATAGTTCAGGTTTGAAACACTCCTTCTGCAGAATCTGCAAGTGGAGATTTGGACCTCTTTGAGGCCTATCGTCGTAAAGGAAATAACTTCATCCTAAAACAAGACAGAAGCATTCTCAGAAAATTATTTGTGATGATTGAGTTTAACTCACAGAGCTGAGCATATCTTTTGATGGAGCACTTTCAAAACACACTTTTTGTAGAATCTGCAAGTGGATATTTGTACTTCTCTGAGAATTTCGTTGGAAACGGGATAAAACTCACATAACTGAAGAGAAACTTTCCCAGAACATCTTTGTGATGTTGGCATTCAACTGACAGAGTTGAACCTTCCCTTGTGAGTTCAGGTTGAAACGCTCTTTTCGTAGTATCTGCAAGTGGAGATTTGGAACGCTTTGAGGCCTACGGTAGTAAAGGAAACAGCTTCATGTAACAACTGGACAGAAGCATTCTCAGAAAATACTTTGTGATGATTGAGTTTAACTCACAGAGCTGAACATGCCTTTGGGTGGAGCAGTTTGGAAACACACTTTTTGCAGAATCTGCAGGTGGATATTTGGACCTCTCTGAGGATTTCGTTGGAAACGGGATAACGTCACCTAACTAAACAGAAGCTTTCGCAGAAACATCTTTCTGACGTTTGCATTCAAAGTCCAGAGTTGAACCTTCCTTTGATAGTTCACGTTTGAAACACTCTTGTTGGAGGACCTGCAAGTGGATATTTGGAGCACTTTGTGGCCTTCGTTCGAAACGGGTATATCTTCACATAAAATCTAGACAGAAGCCTTCTCAGAAACTTCTCTGTGATGACTGCATTCAACTCACAGAGTTGAACATTCCTTTTGATAGAGCAGTTTTGAAACTCTCTTTTTCTAGCATCTGCAAATGGATAGGTGGAACTCTGTGAAGATTTCTTTGGAAACGGGAATATCTTCACGTAAAAAGTAAACAGAAGCATTCTCAGAAAGTCCTTTGTGAGGCTTGTGTTCAACTCCCAGAGTATAACATTGCTTTTCATAGAGCAGTTTTGAAACATTCTTTTCGTAGAGTCTCCAAGTGGACATTTGGAGCGCTTTCAGGCCTGTGGTGGAAAAGGAAATATCTTCACATAAAAACTAGAGAGAAGCATTGTCAGAAACTTCTTTGTGATGATTGCATTCAACTCACGGAGTTGAAGATTCCTTTTGATACAGCAGTTTGGAAACACTCTTTCGGTGGAATCTGCAAGCGGATATGTGGACCTCTTTGAACATTTCGATGGAAAAGGGATAATCTTCCCATGAAAGCTAAACGGAAGCATGCTCAGGAACTTCTTTGTGATGTTTGCATTCAACTCACAGAGTTGTACTTTCCTTTTGATAGAGCAGCTTTGAAACCCTCTCTTTCTAGCATCTGCAAGGGGACATTTGGAAGGCTTCGAGGCCTGGGGTGGAAAAGGAAATATCTTCTCATAAAAGCTACATGGAAGCATTCTCAGAAACTGCTTTGTGATGATTGCATGCAAGTCACAGAGTTGAACATTCCCTTTGATAGAGCCGTTTGGAAACACACTTTTGGTAGAATCTGAAAGGGGAGATTTGGACCGCTTTGAGGCCTATGGCAGCAGAGGATATAACTGCCCATAAAAACTAGACAGTAGCATTCCCAGGAAACACTTTGTGACGATTGAGTTCAACTCACAGAGCTGAACATTCCTTTGGATGGAGCAGTTTCAAAACACACTTTCTGTAGAATCTGCAAGTGGATATTTGGACCTCTCTGAGGATTTCGTTGGATACGGGAGAAAACTCACCTATCTAAACAGAAGCATTCTCAGAACCTTCTTCGTGATGCTTGCATTCAACTCACAGTGTTGAACCTTTCTCTGATAGTTCAGGTTTGAAACACTCCTTCTGCAGAATCTGCAAGTGGAGATTTGGACCTCTTTGAGGCCTATCGTCGTAAAGGAAATAACTTCATCCTAAAACAAGACAGAAGCATTCTCAGAAAATTCTTTGTGATGATTGAGTTTAACTCACAGAGCTGAGCATATCTTTTGATGGAGCACTTTCAAAACACACTTTTTGTAGAATATGCAAGTGGATATTTGTACTTCTCTGAGAATTTCGTTGGAAACGGGATAAAACTCACATAACTGAAGAGAAACATTCCCAGAACTTCTTTGTGATGTTGGCATTCAACTGACAGAGTTGAACATTCCCTCGTGAGTTCAGGTTGAAACGCTCTTTTCGTAGTATCTGCAAGTGGAGATTTGTAACGCTTTGAGGCCTACGGTAGTAAAGGAAACAGCTTCATGTAAAAACTGGACAGAAGCATTCTCAGAAAATACTTTGTGATGATTGAGTTTAACTCACAGAGCTGAACATGCCTTTGGGTGGAGCAGTTTGGAAACACACTTTTTGCAGAATCTGCAGGTGGATATTTGGACCTCTCTGAGGATTTCGTTGGAAACGGGATAACGTCACCTAACTAAACAGAAGCTTTCGCAGAAACATCTTTCTGACGTTTGCATTCAAAGTCCAGAGTTGAACCTTCCTTTGATAGTTCACGTTTGAAACACTCTTGTTGGAGGACCTGCAAGTGGATATTTGGAGCACTTTGTGGCCTTCGTTCAAAACGGGTATATCTTCACATAAAATCTAGACAGAAGCCTTCTCAGAAACTTCTCTGTGATGACTGCATTCAACTCACAGAGTTGAACATTCCTTTTGATAGAGCAGTTTTGAAACTCTCTTTTTCTAGCATCTGCAAATGGATAGGTGGAAGTCTGTGAAGATTTCTTTGGAAACGGGAATATCTTCACGTAAAAAGTAAACAGAAGCATTCTCAGAAAGTCCTTTGTGAGGCTTGTGTTCAACTCCCAGAGTATAACATTGCTTTTCATAGAGCAGTTTTGAAACATTCTTTTCGTAGAGTCTCCAAGTGGACATTTGGAGCGCTTTCAGGCCTGTGGTGGAAAAGGAAATATCTTCACATAAAAACTAGAGAGAAGCGTTGTCAGAAACTTCTTTGTGATGATTGCATTCAACTCACGGAGTTGACGATTCCTTTTGATACAGCAGTTTGGAAACACTCTTTCGGTGGAATCTGCAAGCGGATATGTGGACCTCTTTGAACATTTCGATGGAAAAGGGATAATCTTCCCATGAAAGCTAAACGGAAGCATGCTCAGGAGCTTCTTTGTGATGTTTGCATTCAACTCACAGAGTTGTACTTTCCTTTTGATAGAGCAGCTTTGAAACCCTCTCTTTCTAGCATCTGCAAGGGGACATTTGGAGGGCTTCGAGGCCTGGGGTGGAAAAGGAAATATCTGCTCATAAAAGCTACATGGAAGCATTCTCAGAAACTGCTTTGTGATGATTGCATTCAAGTCACAGAGTTGAACATTCCCTTTGATAGAGCCGTTTGGAAACACACTTTTGGTAGAATCTGAAAGGGGAGATTTGGACCGCTTTGAGGCCTATGGCAGCAGAGGATATAACTGCCCATAAAAACTAGACAGTAGCATTCCCAGGAAACACTTTGTGACGATTGAGTTCAACTCACAGAGCTGAACATTCCTTTGGATGGAGCAGTTTCAAAACACACTTTCTGTAGAATCTGCAAGGGGATATTTGGACCTCTCTGAGGATTTCGTTGGATACGGGAGAAAACTCACCTATCTAAACAGAAGCATTCTCAGAACCTTCTTCGTGATGCTTGCATTCAACTCACAGTGTTGAACCTTTCTCTGATAGTTCAGGTTTGAAACACTCCTTCTGCAGAATCTGCAAGTGGAGATTTGGACCTCTTTGAGGCCTATCGTCGTAAAGGAAATAACTTCATCCTAAAACAAGACAGAAGCATTCTCAGAAAATTCTTTGTGATGATTGAGTTTAACTCACAGAGCTGAGCATATCTTTTGATGGAGCACTTTCAAAACACACTTTGTGTAGAATATGCAAGTGGATATTTGTACTTCTCTGAGAATTTCGTTGGAAACGGGATAAAACTCACATAACTGAAGAGAAACATTCCCAGAACTTCTTTGTGATGTTGGCATTCAACTCTCAGAGTTGAACCTTCCCTTGTGAGTTCAGGTTGAAACGCCCTTTTCGTAGTATCTGCAAGTGGAGATTTGGAACGCTTTGAGGCCTACGGTAGTAAAGGAAACAGCTTCATGTAAAAACTGGACAGAAGCATTCTCAGAAAATACTTTGTGATGATTGAGTTTAACTCACAGAGCTGAACATGCCTTTGGGTGGAGCAGTTTGGAAACACACTTTTTGCAGAATCTGCAGGTGGATATTTGGACCTCTCTGAGGATTTCGTTGGAAACGGGATAACGTCACCTAACTAAACAGAAGCTTTCGCAGAAACATCTTTCTGACGTTTGCATTCAAAGTCCAGAGTTGAACCTTCCTTTGATAGTTCACGTTTGAAACACTCTTGTTGGAGGACCTGCAAGTGGATATTTGGAGCACTTTGTGGCGTTTGTTCGAAACGGCTATATCTTCACATAAAATCTAGACAGAAGCCTTCTCAGAAACTTCTCTGTGATGACTGCATTCAACTCACAGAGTTGAACATTCCTTTTGATAGAGCAGTTTTGAAACTCTCTTTTTCTAGCATCTGCAAATGGATAGGTGGAAGTCTGTGAAGATTTCTTTGGAAACGGGAATATCTTCACGTAAAAAGTAAACAGAAGCATTCTCAGAAACTCCTTTGTGAGGCTTGTGTTCAACTCCCAGAGTATAACATTGCTTTTCATAGAGCAGTTTTGAAACATTCTTTTCGTAGAGTCTCCAAGTGGACATTTGGAGCGCTTTCAGGCCTGTGGTGGAAAAGGAAATATCTTCACATAAAAACTAGAGAGAAGCATTGTCAGAAACTTCTTTGTGATGATTGCATTCAACTCACGGAGTTGACGATTCCTTTTGATACAGCAGTTTGGAAACACTCTTTCGGTGGAATCTGCAAGCGGATATGTGGACCTCTTTGAACATTTCGATGGAAAAGGGATAATCTTCCCATGAAAGCTAAACGGAAGCATGCTCAGGAGCTTCTTTGTGATGTTTGCATTCAACTCACAGAGTTGTACTTTCCTTTTGATAGAGCAGCTTTGAAACCCTCTCTTTCTAGCATCTGCAAGGGGACATTTGGAGGGCTTCGAGGCCTGGGGTGGAAAAGGAAATATCTTCTCCTAAAAGCTACATGGAAGCATTCTCAGAAACTGCTTTGTGATGATTGCATTCAAGTCACAGAGTTGAACATTCCCTTTGATAGAGCCGTTTGGAAACACACTTTTGGTAGAATCTGAAAGGGGAGATTTGGACCGCTTTGAGGCCTATGGCAGCAGAGGATATAACTGCCCATAAAAACTAGACAGTAGCATTCCCAGGAAACACTTTGTGACGATTGAGTTCAACTCACAGAGCTGAACATTCCTTTGGATGGAGCAGTTTCAAAACACACTTTCTGTAGAATCTGCAAGTGGATATTTGGACCTCTCTGAGGATTTCGTTGGATACGGGAGAAAACTCACCTATCTAAACAGAAGCATTCTCAGAACCTTCTTCGTGATGCTTGCATTCAACTCACAGTGTTGAACCTTTGTCTGATAGTTCAGGTTTGAAACACTCCTTCTGCAGAATCTGCAAGTGGAGATTTGGACCTCTTTGAGGCCTATCGTCGTAAAGGAAATAACTTCATCCTAAAACAAGACAGAAGCATTCTCAGAAAATTCTTTGTGATGATTGAGTTTAACTCACAGAGCTGAGCATATCTTATGATGGAGCACTTTCAAAACACACTTTTTGTAGAATATGCAAGTGGATATTTGTACTTCTCTGAGAATTTCGTTGGAAACGGGATAAAACTCACATAACTGAAGAGAAACATTCCCAGAACTTCTTTGTGATGTTGGCATTCAACTGACAGAGTTGAACCTTCCCTTGTGAGTTCAGGTTGAAACGCCCTTTTCGTAGTATCTGCAAGTGGAGATTTGGAACGCTTTGAGGCCTACGGTAGTAAAGGAAACAGCTTCATGTAAAAACTGGACAGAAGCATTCTCAGAAAATACTTTGTGATGATTGAGTTTAACTCACAGAGCTGAACATGCCTTTGGGTGGAGCAGTTTGGAAACACACTTTTTGCAGAATCTGCAGGTGGATATTTGGACCTCTCTGAGGATTTCCTTGGAAACGGGATAACGTCACCTAACTAAACAGAAGCTTTCGCAGAAACATCTTTCTGACGTTTGCATTCAAAGTCCAGAGTTGAACCTTCCTTTGATAGTTCACGTTTGAAACACTCTTGTTGGAGGACCTGCAAGTGGATATTTGGAGCACTTTGTGGCCTTCGTTCGAAACGGGTATATCTTCACATAAAATCTAGACAGAAGCCTTCTCAGAAACTTCTCTGTGATGACTGCATTCAACTCACAGAGTTGAACATTCCTTTTGATAGAGCAGTTTTGAAACTCTCTTTTTGTAGCATCTGCAAATGGATAGGTGGAAGTCTGTGAAGATTTCTTTGGAAACGGGAATATCTTCACGTAAAAAGTAAACAGAAGCATTCTCAGAAACTCCTTTGTGAGGCTTGTGTTCAACTCCCAGAGTATAACATTGCTTTTCATAGAGCAGTTTTGAAACATTCTTTTCGTAGAGTCTCCAAGTGGACATTTGGAGCGCTTTCAGGCCTGTGGTGGAAAAGGAAATATCTTCACATAAAAACTAGAGAGAAGCGTTGTCAGAAACTTCTTTGTGATGATTGCATTCAACTCACGGAGTTGAAGATTCCTTTTGATACAGCAGTTTGGAAACACTCTTTCGGTGGAATCCGCAAGCGGATATGTGGACCTCTTTGAACATTTCGATGGAAAAGGGATAATCTTCCCATAAAAGCTAAACGGAAGCATGCTCAGGAACTTCTTTGTGATGTTTGCATTCAACTCACAGAGTTGTACTTTCCTTTTGATAGAGCAGCTTTGAAACCCTCTCTTTCTAGCATCTGCCAGGGGACATTTGGAGGGCTTCGAGGCCTGGGGTGGAAAAGGAAATATCTGCTCATAAAAGCTACATGGAAGCATTCTCAGAAACTGCTTTGTGATGATTGCATTCAAGTCACAGAGTTGAACATTCCCTTTGATAGAGCCGTTTGGAAACACACTTTTGGTAGAATCTGAAAGGGGAGATTTGGACCGCTTTGAGGCCTATGGCAGCAGAGGATATAACTGCCCATAAAAACTAGACAGTAGCATTCCCAGGAAACACTTTGTGACGATTGAGTTCAACTCACAGAGCTGAACATTCCTTTGGATGGAGCAGTCTGAAAACACTCTTTCTGTAGAATCTGCAAGTGGATATTTGGACCTCTCTGAGGATTTCGTTGGATACGGGAGAAAACTCACTTATCTAAACAGAAGCATTCTCAGAACCTTCTTCGTGATGCTTGCATTCAACTCACAGTGTTGAACCTTTCTCTGATAGTTCAGGTTTGAAACACTCCTTCTGCAGAATCTGCAAGTGGAGATTTGGACCTCTTTGAGGCCTATCGTCGTAAAGGAAATAACTTCATCCTAAAACAAGACAGAAGCATTCTCAGAAAATTCTTTGTGATGATTGAGTTTAACTCACAGAGCTGAGCATATCTTTTGATGGAGCACTTTCAAAACACACTTTTTGTAGAATATGCAAGTGGATATTTGTACTTCTCTGAGAATTTCGTTGGAAACGGGATAAAACTCACATAACTGAAGAGAAACACTCCCAGAACTTCTTTGTGATGTTGGCATTCAACTGACAGAGTTGAACCTTCCCTTGAGAGTTCAGGTTGAAACGCCCTTTTCGTAGTATCTGCAAGTTGAGATTTGGAACGCTTTGAGGCCTACGGTAGTAAAGGAAACAGCTTCATGTAAAAACTGGACAGAAGCATTCTCAGAAAATACTTTGTGATGATTGAGTTTAACTCACAGAGCTGAACATGCCTTTGGGTGGAGCAGTTTGGAAACACACTTTTTGCAGAATCTGCAGGTGGATATTTGGACCTCTCTGAGGATTTCGTTGGAAACGGGATAACGTCACCTAACTAAACAGAAGCTTTCGCAGAAACATCTTTCTGACGTTTGCATTCAAAGTCCAGAGTTGAACCTTCCTTTGATAGTTCACGTTTGAAACACTCTTGTTGGAGGACCTGCAAGTGGATATTTGGAGCACTTTGTGGCCTTTGTTCGAAACGGGTATATCTTCACATAAAATCTAGACAGAAGCCTTCTCAGAAACTTCTCTGTGATGACTGCATTCAACTCACAGAGTTGAACATTCCTTTTGATAGAGCAGTTTTGAAACTCTCTTTTTCTAGCATCTGCAAATGCATAGGTGGAAGTCTGTGAAGATTTCTTTGGAAACGGGAATATCTTCACGTAAAAAGTAAACAGAAGCATTCTCAGAAACTCCTTTGTGAGGCTTGTGTTCAACTCCCAGAGTATAACATTGCTTTTCATAGAGCAGTTTTGAAACATTCTTTTCGTAGAGTCTCCAAGTGGACATTTGGAGCGCTTTCAGGCCTGTGGTGGAAAAGGAAATATCTTCACATAAAAACTAGAGAGAAGCGTTGTCAGAAACTTCTTTGTGATGATTGCATTCAACTCACGGAGTTGAAGATTCCTTTTGATACAGCAGTTTGGAAACACTCTTTCGGTGGAATCCGCAAGCGGATATGTGGACCTCTTTGAACATTTCGATGGAAAAGGGATAATCTTCCCATAAAAGCTAAACGGAAGCATGCTCAGGAACTTCTTTGTGATGTTTGCATTCAACTCACAGAGTTGTACTTTCCTTTTGATAGAGCAGCTTTGAAACCCTCTCTTTCTAGCATCTGCAAGGGGACATTTGGAGGGCTTCGAGGCCTGGGGTGGAAAAGGAAATATCTGCTCATAAAAGCTACATGGAAGCATTCTCAGAAACTGCTTTGTGATGATTGCATTCAAGTCACAGAGTTGAACATTCCCTTTGATAGAGCCGTTTGGAAACACACTTTTGGTAGAATCTGAAAGGGGAGATTTGGACCGCTTTGAGGCCTATGGCAGCAGAGGATATAACTGCCCATAAAAACTAGACAGTAGCATTCCCAGGAAACACTTTGTGACGATTGAGTTCAACTCACAGAGCTCAACATTCCTTTGGATGGAGCAGTTTCAAAACACACTTTCTGTAGAATCTGCAAGTGGATATTTGGACCTCTCTGAGGATTTCGTTGGATACGGGAGAAAACTCACCTATTTAAACAGAAGCATTCTCAGAACCTTCTTCGTGATGCTTGCATTCAACTCACAGTGTTGAACCTTTCTCTGATAGTTCAGGTTTGAAACACTCCTTCTGCAGAATCTGCAAGTGGAGATTTGGACCTCTTTGAGGCCTATCGTCGTAAAGGAAATAACTTCATCCTAAAACAAGACAGAAGCATTCTCAGAAAATTCTTTGTGATGATTGAGTTTAACTCACAGAGCTGAGCATATCTTTTGATGGAGCACTTTCAAAACACACTTTGTGTAGAATATGCAAGTGGATATTTGTACTTCTCTGAGAATTTCGTTGGAAACGGGATAAAACTCACATAACTGAAGAGAAACATTCCCAGAACTTCTTTGTGATGTTGGCATTCAACTGACAGAGTTGAACCTTCCCTTGTGAGTTCAGGTTGAAACGCCCTTTTCGTAGTATCTGCAAGTGGAGATTTGGAACGCTTTGAGGCCTACGGTAGTAAAGGAAACAGCTTCATGTAAAAACTGGACAGAAGCATTCTCAGAAAATACTTTGTGATGATTGAGTTTAACTCACAGAGCTGAACATGCCTTTGGGTGCAGCAGTTTGGAAACACACTTTTTGCAGAATCTGCAGGTGGATATTTGGACCTCTCTGAGGATTTCGTTGGAAACGGGATAACGTCACCTAACTAAACAGAAGCTTTCGCAGAAACATCTTTCTGACGTTTGCATTCAAAGTCCAGAGTTGAACCTTCCTTTGATAGTTCACGTTTGAAACACTCTTGTTGGAGGACCTGCAAGTGGATATTTGGAGCACTTTGTGGCCTTCGTTCGAAACGGGTATATCTTCACATAAAATCTAGACAGAAGCCTTCTCAGAAACTTCTCTGTGATGACTGCATTCAACTCACAGAGTTGAACATTCCTTTTGATAGAGCAGTTTTGAAACTCTCTTTTTCTAGCATCTGCAAATGGATAGGTGGAAGTCTGTGAAGATTTCTTTGGAAACGGGAATATCTTCACGTAAAAAGTAAACAGAAGCATTCTCAGAAACTCCTTTGTGAGGCTTGTGTTCAACTCCCAGAGTATAACATTGCTTTTCATAGAGCAGTTTTGAAACATTCTTTTCGTAGAGTCTCCAAGTGGACATTTGGAGCGCTTTCAGGCCTGTGGTGGAAAAGGAAATATCTTCACATAAAAACTAGAGAGAAGCGTT
This sequence comes from Homo sapiens, assembly GCF_000001405.40. NCBI lineage: Eukaryota > Metazoa > Chordata > Mammalia > Primates > Hominidae > Homo > Homo sapiens. The sequence continues at coordinate 122,304,456 of NC_000001.11, forward strand.
GTCAGAAACTTCTTTGTGATGATTGCATTCAACTCACGGAGTTGAAGATTCCTTTTGATACAGCAGTTTGGAAACACTCTTTCGGTGGAATCTGCAAGCGGACATGTGGACCTCTTTGAACATTTCGATGGAAAAGGGATAATCTTCCCATAAAAGCTAAACGGAAGCATGCTCAGGAACTTCTTTGTGATGTTTGCATTCAACTCACAGAGTTGTACTTTCCTTTTGATAGAGCAGCTTTGAAACCCTCTCTTTCTAGCATCTGCAAGGGGACATTTGGAGGGCTTCGAGGCCTGGGGTGGAAAAGGAAATATCTGCTCATAAAAGCTACATGGAAGCATTCTCAGAAACTGCTTTGTGATGATTGCATTCAAGTCACAGAGTTGAACATTCCCTTTGATAGAGCCGTTTGGAAACACACTTTTGGTAGAATCTGAAAGGGGAGATTTGGACCGCTTTGAGGCCTATGGCAGCAGAGGATATAACTGCCCATAAAAACTAGACAGTAGCATTCCCAGGAAACACTTTGTGACGATTGAGTTCAACTCACAGAGCTGAACATTCCTTTGGATGGAGCAGTTTCAAAACACACTTTCTGTAGAATCTGCAAGTGGATATTTGGACCTCTCTGAGGATTTCGTTGGATACGGGAGAAAACTCACCTATCTAAACAGAAGCATTCTCAGAACCTTCTTCGTGATGCTTGCATTCAACTCACAGTGTTGAACCTTTCTCTGATAGTTCAGGTTTGAAACACTCCTTCTGCAGAATCTGCAAGTGGAGATTTGGACCTCTTTGAGGCCTATCGTCGTAAAGGAAATAACTTCATCCTAAAACAAGACAGAAGCATTCTCAGAAAATTCTTTGTGATGATTGAGTTTAACTCACAGAGCTGAGCATATCTTTTGATGGAGCACTTTCAAAACACACTTTTTGTAGAATATGCAAGTGGATATTTGTACTTCTCTGAGAATTTCGTTGGAAACGGGATAAAACTCACATAACTGAAGAGAAACATTCCCAGAACTTCTTTGTGACGTTGGCATTCAACTGACAGAGTTGAACCTTCCCTTGTGAGTTCAGGTTGAAACGCTCTTTTCGTAGTATCTGCAAGTGGAGATTTGGAACGCTTTGAGGCCTACGGTAGTAAAGGAAACAGCTTCATGTAAAAACTGGACAGAAGCATTCTCAGAAAATACTTTGTGATGATTGAGTTTAACTCACAGAGCTGAACATGCCTTTGGGTGGAGCAGTTTGGAAACACAGTTTTTGCAGAATCTGCAGGTGGATATTTGGACCTCTCTGAGGATTTCGTTGGAAAAGGGATAACGTCACCTAACTAAACAGAAGCTTTCGCAGAAACATCTTTCTGACGTTTGCATTCAAAGTCCAGAGTTGAACCTTCCTTTGATAGTTCACGTTTGAAACACTCTTGTTGGAGGACCTGCAAGTGGATATTTGGAGCACTTTGTGGCCTTCGTTCGAAACGGGTATATCTTCACATAAAATCTAGACAGAAGCCTTCTCAGAAACTTCTCTGTGATGACTGCATTCAACTCACAGAGTTGAACATTCCTTTTGATAGAGCAGTTTTGAAACTCTCTTTTTCTAGCATCTGCAAATGGATAGGTGGAAGTCTGTGAAGATTTCTTTGGAAACGGGAATATCTTCACGTAAAAAGTAAACAGAAGCATTCTCAGAAACTCCTTTGTGAGGCTTGTGTTCAACTCCCAGAGTATAACATTGCTTTTCATAGAGCAGTTTTGAAACATTCTTTTCGTAGAGTCTCCAAGTGGACATTTGGAGCGCTTTCAGGCCTGTGGTGGAAAAGGAAATATCTTCACATAAAAACTAGAGAGAAGCATTGTCAGAAACTTCTTTGTGATGATTGCATTCAACTCACGGAGTTGAAGATTCCTTTTGATACAGCAGTTTGGAAACACTCTTTCGGTGGAATCTGCAAGCGGATATGTGGACCTCTTTGAACATTTCGATGGAAAAGGGATAATCTTCCCATGAAAGCTAAACGGAAGCATGCTCAGGAGCTTCTTTGTGATGTTTGCATTCAACTCACAGAGTTGTACTTTCCTTTTGATAGAGCAGCTTTGAAACCCTCTCTTTCTAGCATCTGCCAGGGGACATTTGGAGGGCTTCGAGGCCTGGGCTGGAAAAGGAAATATCTTCTCATAAAAGCTACATGGAAGCATTCTCAGAAACTGCTTTGTGATGATTGCATTCAAGTCACAGAGTTGAACATTCCCTTTGATAGAGCCGTTTGGAAACACAATTTTGGTAGAATCTGAAAGGGGAGATTTGGACCGCTTTGAGGCCTATGGCAGCAGAGGATATAACTGCCCATAAAAACTAGACAGTAGCATTCCCAGGAAACACTTTGTGACGATTGAGTTCAACTCACAGAGCTGAACATTCCTTTGGATGGAGCAGTTTCAAAACACACTTTCTGTAGAATCTGCAAGTGGATATTTGGACCTCTCTGAGGATTTCGTTGGATACGGGAGAAAACTCACCTATCTAAACAGAGGCATTCTCAGAACCTTCTTCGTAATGCTTGCATTCAACTCACAGTGTTGAACCTTTCTCTGATAGTTCAGGTTTGAAACACTCCTTCTGCAGAATCTGCAAGTGGAGATTTGGACCTCTTTGAGGCCTATCGTCGTAAAGGAAATAACTTCATCCTAAAACAAGACAGAAGCATTCTCAGAAAATTCTTTGTGATGATTGAGTTTAACTCACAGAGCTGAACATATCTTTTGATGGAGCACTTTCAAAACACACTTTTTGTCGAATATGCAAGTGGATATTTGTACTTCTCTGAGAATTTCGTTGGAAACGGGATAAAACTCACATAACTGAAGAGAAACATTCCCAGAACTTCTTTGTGATGTTGGCATTCAACTGACAGAGTTGAACCTTCCCTCGTGAGTTCAGGTTGAAACGCTCTTTTCGTAGTATCTGCAAGTGGAGATTTGGAACGCTTTGAGGCCTACTGTAGTAAAGGAAACAGCTTCATGTAAAAACTGGACAGAAGCATTCTCAGAAAATACTTTGTGATGATTGAGTTTAACTCACAGAGCTGAACATGCCTTTGGGTGGAGCAGTTTGGAAACACACTTTTTGCAGTATCTGCAGGTGGATATTTGGACCTCTCTGAGGATTTCGTTGGAAACGGGATAACGTCACCTAACTAAACAGAAGCTTTCGCAGAAACATCTTTCTGACGTTTGCATTCAAAGTCCAGAGTTGAACCTTCCTTTGATAGTTCACGTTTGAAACACTCTTGTTGGAGGACCTGCAAGTGGATATTTGGAGCACTTTGTGGCCTTTGTTCGAAACGGCTATATCTTCACATGAAATCTAGACAGAAGCCTTCTCAGAAACTTCTCTGTGATGACTGCATTCAACTCACAGAGTTGAACATTCCTTTTGATAGAGCAGTTTTGAAACTCTCTTTTTCTAGCATCTGCAAATGGATAGGTGGAAGCCTGTGAAGATTTCTTTGGAAACGGGAATATCTTCACGTAAAAAGTAAACAGAAGCATTCTCAGAAACTCCTTTGTGAGGCTTGTGTTCAACTCCCAGAGTATAACATTGCTTTTCATAGAGCAGTTTTGAAACATTCTTTTCGTAGAGTCTCCAAGTGGACATTTGGAGCGCTTTCAGGCCTGTGGTGGAAAAGGAAATATCTTCACATACAAACTAGAGAGAAGCGTTGTCAGAAACTTCTTTGTGATGATTGCATTCAACTCACGGAGTTGAAGATTCCTTTTGATACAGCAGTTTGGAAACGCTCTTTCGGTGGAATCTGCAAGCGGATATGTGGACCTCTTTGAACATTTCGATGGAAAAGGGATAATCTTCCCATAAAAGCTAAACGGAAGCATGCTCAGGAACTTCTTTGTGATGTTTGCATTCATCTCACAGAGTTGTACTTTCCTTTTGATAGAGCAGCTTTGAAACCCTCTCTTTCTAGCATCTGCAAGGGGACATTTGGAGGGCTTCGAGGCCTGGGGTGGAAAAGGAAATATCTGCTCATAAAAGCTACATGGAAGCATTCTCAGAAACTGCTTTGTGATGATTGCATTCAAGTCACAGAGTTGAACATTCCCTTTGATAGAGCCGTTTGGAAACACACTTTTGGTAGAATCTGAAAGGGGAGATTTGGACCGCTTTGAGGCCTATGGCAGCAGAGGATATAACTGCCCATAAAAACTAGACAGTAGCATTCCCAGGAAACACTTTGTGACGATTGAGTTCAACTCACAGAGCTGAACATTCCTTTGGATGGAGCAGTTTCAAAACACACTTTCTGTAGAATCTGCAAGTGGATATTTGGACCTCTCTGAGGATTTCGTTGGATACGGGAGAAAACTCACCTATCTAAACAGAAGCATTCTCAGAACCTTCTTCGTGATGCTTGCATTCAACTCACAGTGTTGAACCTTTGTCTTATAGTTCAGGTTTGAAACACTCCTTCTGCAGAATCTGCAAGTGGAGATTTGGACCTCTTTGAGGCCTATCGTCGTAAAGGAAATAACTTCATCCTAAAACAAGACAGAAGCATTCTCAGAAAATTCTTTGTGATGATTGAGTTTAACTCACAGAGCTGAGCATATCTTTTGATGGAGCACTTTCAAAACACACTTTTTGTAGAATATGCAAGTGGATATTTGTACTTCTCTGAGAATTTCGTTGGAAACGGGATAAAACTCACATAACTGAAGAGAAACATTCCCAGAACTTCTTTGTGATGTTGGCATTCAACTGACAGAGTTGAACCTTCCCTCGTGAGTTCAGGTTGAAACGCTCTTTTCGTAGTATCTGCAAGTGGAGATTTGGAACTCTTTGAGGCCTACGGTAGTAAAGGAGACAGCTTCATGTAAAAACTGGACAGAAGCATTCTCAGAAAATACTTTGTGATGATTGAGTTTAACTCACAGAGCTGAACATGCCTTTGGGTGGAGCAGTTTGGAAACACACTTTTTGCAGAATCTGCAGGTGGATATTTGGACCTCTCTGAGGATTTCGTTGGAAACGGGATAACGTCACCTAATTAAACAGAAGCTTTCGCAGAAACATCTTTCTGACGTTTGCATTCAAAGTCCAGAGTTGAACCTTCCTTTGATAGTTCACGTTTGAAACACTCTTGTTGGAGGACCTGCAAGTGGATATTTGGAGCACTTTGTGGCCTTCGTTCGAAACGGGTATATCTTCACATAAAATCTAGACAGAAGCCTTCTCAGAAACTTCTCTGTGATGACTGCATTCAACTCACAGAGTTGAACATTCCTTTTGATAGAGCAGTTTTGAAACTCTCTTTTTCTAGCATCTGCAAATGGATAGGTGGAAGTCTGTGAAGATTTCTTTGGAAACGGGAATATCTTCACGTAAAAAGTAAACAGAAGCATTCTCAGAAAGTCCTTTGTGAGGCTTGTGTTCAACTCCCAGAGTATAACATTGCTTTTCATAGAGCAGTTTTGAAACATTCTTTTCGTAGAGTCTCCAAGTGGACATTTGGAGCGCTTTCAGGCCTGTGGTGGAAAAGGAAATATCTTCACATAAAAACTAGAGAGAAGCATTGTCAGAAACTTCTTTGTGATGATTGCATTCAACTCACGGAGTTGAAGATTCCTTTTGATACAGCAGGTTGGAAACACTCTTTCGGTGGAATCTGCAAGCGGATATGTGGACCTCTTTGAACATTTCGATGGAAAAGGGATAATCTTCCCATGAAAGCTAAACGGAAGCATGCTCAGGAGCTTCTTTGTGATGTTTGCATTCAACTCACAGAGTTGTACTTTCCTTTTGATAGAGCAGCTTTGAAACCCTCTCTTTCTAGCATCTGCAAGGGGACATTTGGAGGGCTTCGAGGCCTGGGGTGGAAAAGGAAATATCTGCTCATTAAAGCTACATGCAAGCATTCTCAGAAACTGCTTTGTGATGATTGCATTCAAGTCACAGAGTTGAACATTCCCTTTGATAGAGCCGTTTGGAAACACACTTTTGGTAGAATCTGAAAGGGGAGATTTGGACCGCTTTGAGGCCTATGGCAGCAGAGGATATAACTGCCCATAAAAACTAGACAGTAGCATTCCCAGGAAACACTTTGTGACGATTGAGTTCAACTCACAGAGCTGAACATTCCTTTGGATGGAGCAGTTTCAAAACACACTTTCTGTAGAATCTGCAAGTGGATATTTGGACCTCTCTGAGGATTTCGTTGGATACGGGAGAAAACTCACCTATCTAAACAGAAGCATTCTCAGAACCTTCTTCGTGATGCTTGCATTCAACTCACAGTGTTGAACCTTTCTCTGATAGTTCAGGTTTGAAACACTCCTTCTGCAGAATCTGCAAGTGGAGATTTGGACCTCTTTGAGGCCTATCGTCGTAAAGGAAATAACTTCATCCTAAAACAAGACAGAAGCATTCTCAGAAAATTCTTTGTGATGATTGAGTTTAACTCACAGAGCTGAGCATATCTTTTGATGGAGCACTTTCAAAACACACTTTGTGTAGAATATGCAAGTGGATATTTGTACTTCTCTGAGAATTTCGTTGGAAACGGGATAAAACTCACATAACTGAAGAGAAACATTCCCAGAACTTCTTTGTGATGTTGGCATTCAACTGACAGAGTTGAACCTTCCCTTGTGAGTTCAGGTTGAAACGCCCTTTTCGTAGTATCTGCAAGTGGAGATTTGGAACGCTTTGAGGCCTACGGTAGTAAAGGAAACAGCTTCATGTAAAAACTGGACAGAAGCATTCTCAGAAAATACTTTGTGATGATTGAGTTTAACTCACAGAGCTGAACATGCCTTTGGGTGGAGCAGTTTGGAAACACACTTTTTGCAGAATCTGCAGGTGGATATTTGGACCTCTCTGAGGATTTCGTTGGAAACGGGATAACGTCACCTAACTAAACAGAAGCTTTCGCAGAAACATCTTTCTGACGTTTGCATTCAAAGTCCAGAGTTGAACCTTCCTTTGATAGTTCACGTTTGAAACACTCTTGTTGGAGGACCTGCAAGTGGATATTTGGAGCACTTTGTGGCCTTCGTTCGAAACGGGTATATCTTCACATAAAATCTAGACAGAAGCCTTCTCAGAAACTTCTCTGTGATGACTGCATTCAACTCACAGAGTTGAACATTCCTTTTGATAGAGCAGTTTTGAAACTCTCTTTTTCTAGCATCTGCAAATGGATAGGTGGAAGTCTGTGAAGATTTCTTTGGAAACGGGAATATCTTCACGTAAAAAGTAAACAGAAGCATTCTCAGAAACTCCTTTGTGAGGCTTGTGTTCAACTCCCAGAGTATAACATTGCTTTTCATAGAGCAGTTTTGAAACATTCTTTTCGTAGAGTCTCCAAGTGGACATTTGGAGCGCTTTCAGGCCTGTGGTGGAAAAGGAAATATCTTCACATAAAAACTAGAGAGAAGCGTTGTCAGAAACTTCTTTGTGATGATTGCATTCAACTCACGGAGTTGACGATTCCTTTTGATACAGCAGTTTGGAAACACTCTTTCGGTGGAATCTGCAAGCGGATATGTGGACCTCTTTGAACATTTCGATGGAAAAGGGATAATCTTCCCATGAAAGCTAAACGGAAGCATGCTCAGGAGCTTCTTTGTGATGTTTGCATTCAACTCACAGAGTTGTACTTTCCTTTTGATAGAGCAGCTTTGAAACCCTCTCTTTCTAGCATCTGCAAGGGGACATTTGGAGGGCTTCGAGGCCTGGGGTGGAAAAGGAAATATCTGCTCATAAAAGCTACATGGAAGCATTCTCAGAAACTGCTTTGTGATGATTGCATTCAAGTCACAGAGTTGAACATTCCCTTTAATAGAGCCGTTTGGAAACACACTTTTGGTAGAATCTGAAAGGGGAGATTTGGACCGCTTTGAGGCCTATGACAGCAGAGGATATAACTGCCCATAAAAACTAGACAGTAGCATTCCCAGGAAACACTTTGTGACGATTGAGTTCAACTCACAGAGCTGAACATTCCTTTGGATGGAGCAGTTTCAAAACACACTTTCTGTAGAATCTGCAAGTGGATATTTGGACCTCTCTGAGGATTTCGTTGGATACGGGAGAAAACTCACCTATCTAAACAGAAGCATTCTCAGAACCTTCTTCGTGATGCTTGCATTCAACTCACAGTGTTGAACCTTTCTCTGATAGTTCAGGTTTGAAACACTCCTTCTGCAGAATCTGGAAGTGGAGATTTGGACCTCTTTGAGGCCTATCGTCGTAAAGGAAATAACTTCATCCTAAAACAAGACAGAAGCATTCTCAGAAAATTCTTTGTGATGATTGAGTTTAACTCACAGAGCTGAGCATATCTTTTGATGGAGCACTTTCAAAACACACTTTGTGTAGAATATGCAAGTGGATATTTGTACTTCTCTGAGAATTTCGTTGGAAACGGGATAAAACTCACATAACTGAAGAGAAACATTCCCAGAACTTCTTTGTGATGTTGGCATTCAACTGACAGAGTTGAACCTTCCCTTGTGAGTTCAGGTTGAAACGCCCTTTTCGTAGTATCTGCAAGTGGAGATTTGGAACGCTTTGAGGCCTACGGTAGTAAAGGAAACAGCTTCATGTAAAAACTGGACAGAAGCATTCTCAGAAAATACTTTGTGATGATTGAGTTTAACTCACAGAGCTGAACATGCCTTTGGGTGCAGCAGTTTGGAAACACACTTTTTGCAGAATCTGCAGGTGGATATTTGGACCTCTCTGAGGATTTCGTTGGAAACGGGATAACGTCACCTAACTAAACAGAAGCTTTCGCAGAAACATCTTTCTGACGTTTGCATTCAAAGTCCAGAGTTGAACCTTCCTTTGATAGTTCACGTTTGAAACACTCTTGTTGGAGGACCTGCAAGTGGATATTTGGAGCACTTTGTGGCCTTCGTTCGAAACGGGTATATCTTCACATAAAATCTAGACAGAAGCCTTCTCAGAAACTTCTCTGTGATGACTGCATTCAACTCACAGAGTTGAACATTCCTTTTGATAGAGCAGTTTTGAAACTCTCTTTTTCTAGCATCTGCAAATGGATAGGTGGAAGTCTGTGAAGATTTCTTTGGAAACGGGAATATCTTCACGTAAAAAGTAAACAGAAGCATTCTCAGAAACTCCTTTGTGAGGCTTGTGTTCAACTCCCAGAGTATAACATTGCTTTTCATAGAGCAGTTTTGAAACATTCTTTTCGTAGAGTCTCCAAGTGGACATTTGGAGCGCTTTCAGGCCTGTGGTGGAAAAGGAAATATCTTCACATAAAAACTAGAGAGAAGCGTTGTCAGAAACTTCTTTGTGATGATTGCATTCAACTCACGGAGTTGAAGATTCCTTTTGATACAGTAGTTTGGAAACACTCTTTCGGTGGAATCTGCAAGCGGATATGTGGACCTCTTTGAACATTTCGATGGAAAAGGGATAATCTTCCCATAAGAGCTAAACGGAAGCATGCTCTGGAAATTCTTTGTGATGTTTGCATTCAACTCACAGAGTTGTACTTTCCTTTTGATAGAGCAGCTTTGAAACCCTCTCTTTCTAGCATCTGCAAGGGGACATTTGGAGGGCTTCGAGGCCTGGGGTGGAAAAGGAAATATCTGCTCATAAAAGCTACATGGAAGCATTCTCAGAAACTGCTTTGTGATGATTGCATGCAAGTCACAGAGTTGAACATTCCCTTTGATAGAGCCGTTTGGAAACACACTTTTGGTAGAATCTGAAAGGGGAGATTTGGACCGCTTTGAGGCCTATGGCAGCAGAGGATATAACTGCCCATAAAAACTAGACAGTAGCATTCCCAGGAAACACTTTGTGACGATTGAGTTCAACTCACAGAGCTGAACATTCCTTTGGATGGAGCAGTTTCAAAACACACTTTCTGTAGAATCTGCAAGTGGATATTTGGACCTCTCTGAGGATTTCGTTGGATACGGGAGAAAACTCACCTATCTAAACAGAAGCATTCTCAGAACCTTCTTCGTGATGCTTGCATTCAACTCACAGTGTTGAACCTTTCTCTGATAGTTCAGGTTTGAAACACTCCTTCTGCAGAATCTGCAAGTGGAGATTTGGACCTCTTTGAGGCCTATCGTCGTAAAGGAAATAACTTCATCCTAAAACAAGACAGAAGCATTCTCAGAAAATTCTTTGTGATGATTGAGTTTAACTCACAGAGCTGAGCATATCTTTTGATGGAGCACATTCAAAACACACTTTTTGTAGAAGATGCAAGTGGATATTTGTACTTCTCTGAGAATTTCGTTGGAAACGGGATAAAACTCACATAACTGAAGAGAAACATTCCCAGAACTTCTTTGTGATGTTGGCATTCAACTGACAGAGTTGAACCTTCCCTTGTGAGTTCAGGTTGAAACGCTCTTTTCGTAGTATCTGCAAGTGGAGATTTGGAACGCTTTGAGGCCTACGGTAGTAAAGGAAACAGCTTCATGTAAAAACTGGACAGAAGCATTCTCAGAAAATACTTTGTGATGATTGAGTTTAACTCACAGAGCTGAACATGCCTTTGGGTGGAGCAGTTTGGAAACACACTTTTTGCAGAATCTGCAGGTGGATATTTGGACCTCTCTGAGGATTTCGTTGGAAACGGGATAACGTCACCTAACTAAACAGAAGCTTTCGCAGAAACATCTTTCTGACGTTTGCATTCAAAGTCCAGAGTTGAACCTTCCTTTGATAGTTCACGTTTGAAACACTCTTGTTGGAGGACATGCAAGTGCATATTTGGAGCACTTTGTGGCCTTCGTTCGAAACGGGTATATCTTCACAAAAAATCTAGACAGAAGCCTTCTCAGAAACTTCTCTGTGATGATTGCATTCAACTCACAGAGTTGAACATTCCTTTTGATAGAGCAGTTTTGAAACTCTCTTTTTCTACCATCTGCAAATGGATAGGTGGAACTCTGTGAAGATTTCTTTGGAAACGGGAATATCTTCACGTAAAAAGTAAACAGAAGCATTCTCAGAAACTCCTTTGTGAGGCTTGTGTTCAACTCCCAGAGTATAACATTGCTTTTCATAGAGCAGTTTTGAAACATTCTTTTCGTAGAGTCTCCAAGTGGACATTTGGAGCGCTTTCAGGCCTGTGGTGGAAAAGGAAATATCTTCACATAAAAACTAGAGAGAAGCGTTGTCAGAGACTTCTTTGTGATGATTGCATTCAACTCACGGAGTTGAAGATTCCTTTTGATACAGCAGTTTGGAAACACTCTTTCGGTGGAATCTGCAAGCGGATATGTGGACCTCTTTGAACATTTCGATGGAAAAGGGATAATCTTCCCATAAGAGCTAAACGGAAGCATGCTCAGGAACTTCTTTGTGATGTTTGCATTCAACTCACAGAGTTGTACTTTCCTTTTGATAGAGCAGCTTTGAAACCCTCTCTTTCTAGCATCTGCAAGGGGACATTTGGAGGGCTTCGAGGCCTGGGGTGGAAAAGGAAATATCTGCTCATAAAAGCTACATGGAAGCATTCTCAGAAACTGCTTTGTGATGATTGCATTCAAGTCACGGAGTTGAACATTCCCTTTGATAGAGCCGTTTGGAAACACACTTTTGGTAGAATCTGAAAGGGGAGATTTGGACCGCTTTGAGGCCTATGGCAGCAGAGGATATAACTGCCCATAAAAACTAGACAGTAGCATTCCCAGGAAACACTTTGTGACGATTGAGTTCAACTCACAGAGCTGAACATTCCTTTGGATGGAGCAGTTTCAAAACACACTTTCTGTAGAATCTGCAAGTGGATATTTGGACCTCTCTGAGGATTTCGTTGGATACGGGAGAAAACTCACCTATCTAAACAGAAGCATTCTCAGAACCTTCTTCGTGATGCTTGCATTCAACTCACAGTGTTGAACCTTTCTCTGATAGTTCAGGTTTGAAACACTCCTTCTGCAGAATCTGCAAGTGGAGATTTGGACCTCTTTGAGGCCTATCGTCGTAAAGGAAATAACTTCATCCTAAAACAAGACAGAAGCATTCTCAGAAAATTCTTTGTGATGATTGAGTTTAACTCACAGAGCTGAGCATATCTTTTGATGGAGCACTTTCAAAACACACTTTTTGTAGAATATGCAAGTGGATATTTGTACTTCTCTGAGAATTTCGTTGGAAACGGGATAAAACTCACATAACTGAAGAGAAACATTCCCAGAACTTCTTTGTGATGTTGGCATTCAACTGACAGAGTTGAACCTTCCCTTGAGAGTTCAGGTTGAAACGCCCTTTTCGTAGTATCTGCAAGTTGAGATTTGGAACGCTTTGAGGCCTACGGTAGTAAAGGAAACAGCTTCATGTAAAAACTGGACAGAAGCATTCTCAGAAAATACTTTGTGATGATTGAGTTTAACTCACAGAGCTGAACATGCCTTTGGGTGGAGCAGTTTGGAAACACACTTTTTGCAGAATCTGCAGGTGGATATTTGGACCTCTCTGAGGATTTCCTTGGAAACGGGATAACGTCACCTAACTAAACAGAAGCTTTCGCAGAAACATCTTTCTGACGTTTGCATTCAAAGTCCAGAGTTGAACCTTCCTTTGATAGTTCACGTTTGAAACACTCTTGTTGGAGGACCTGCAAGTGGATATTTGGAGCACTTTGTGGCCTTCGTTCGAAACGGGTATATCTTCACATAAAATCTAGACAGAAGCCTTCTCAGAAACTTCTCTGTGATGACTGCATTCAACTCACAGAGTTGAACATTCCTTTTGATAGAGCAGTTTTGAAACTCTCTTTTTCTAGCATCTGCAAATGGATAGGTGGAAGTCTGTGAAGATTTCTTTGGAAACGGGAATATCTTCACGTAAAAAGTAAACAGAAGCATTCTCAGAAACTCCTTTGTGAGGCTTGTGTTCAACTCCCAGAGTATAACATTGCTTTTCATAGAGCAGTTTTGAAACATTCTTTTCGTAGAGTCTCCAAGTGGACATTTGGAGCGCTTTCAGGCCTGTGGTGGAAAAGGAAATATCTTCATATAAAAACTAGAGAGAAGCGTTGTCAGAAACTTCTTTGTGATGATTGCATTCAACTCACGGAGTTGAAGATTCCTTTTGATACAGCAGTTTGGAAACACTCTTTCGGTGGAATCTGCAAGCGGATATGTGTACCTCTTTGAACATTTCGATGGAAAAGGGATAATCTTCCCATAAAAGCTAAACGGAAGCATGCTCAGGAGCTTCTTTGTGATGTTTGCATTCAACTCACAGAGTTGTACTTTCCTTTTGATAGAGCAGCTTTGAAACCCTCTCTTTCTAGCATCTGCAAGGGGACATTTGGAGGGCTTCGAGGCCTGGGGTGGAAAAGGAAATATCTGCTCATTAAAGCTACATGGAAGCATTATCAGAAACTGCTTTGTGATGATTGCATTCAAGTCACAGAGTTGAACATTCCCTTTGATAGAGCCGTTTGGAAACACACTTTTGGTAGAATCTGAAAGGGGAGATTTGGACCGCTTTGAGGCCTATGGCAGCAGAGGATATAACTGCCCATAAAAACTAGACAGTAGCATTCCCAGGAAATACTTTGTGACGATTGAGTTCAACTCACAGTAGCTGAACATTCCTTTGGATGGAGCAGTTTCAAAACACACTTTCTGTAGAATCTGCAAGTGGATATTTGGACCTCTCTGAGGATTTCGTTGGATACGGGAGAAAACTCACTTATCTAAACAGAAGCATTCTCAGAACCTTCTTCGTGATGCTTGCATTCAACTCACAGTGTTGAACCTTTCTCTGATAGTTCAGGTTTGAAACACTCCTTCTGCAGAATCTGCAAGTGGAGATTTGGACCTCTTTGAGGCCTATCGTCGTAAAGGAAATAACTTCATCCTAAAACAAGACAGAAGCATTCTCAGAAAATTCTTTGTGATGATTGAGTTTAACTCACAGAGCTGAGCATATCTTTTGATGGAGCACTTTCAAAACACACTTTTTGTAGAATATGCAAGTGGATATTTGTACTTCTCTGAGAATTTCGTTGGAAACGGGATAAAACTCACATAACTGAAGAGAAACATTCCCAGAACTTCTTTGTGATGTTGGCATTCAACTGACAGAGTTGAACCTTCCCTTGTGAGTTCAGGTTGAAACGCCCTTTTCGTAGTATCTGCAAGTGGAGATTTGGAACGCTTTGAGGCCTACGGTAGTAAAGGAAACAGCTTCATGTAAAAACTGGACAGAAGCTTTCTCAGAAAATACTTTGTGATGATTGAGTTTAACTCACAGAGCTGAACATGCCTTTGGGTGGAGCAGTTTGGAAACACACTTTTTGCAGAATCTGCAGGTGGATATTTGGACCTCTCTGAGGATTTCGTTGGAAACGGGATAACGTCACCTAACTAAACAGAAGCTTTCGCAGAAACATCTTTCTGACGTTTGCATTCAAAGTCCAGAGTTGAACCTTCCTTTGATAGTTCACGTTTGAAACACTCTTGTTGGAGGACCTGCAAGTGGATATTTGGAGCACTTTGTGGCCTTTGTTCGAAACGGGTATATCTTCACATAAAATCTAGACAGAAGCCTTCTCAGAAACTTCTCTGTGATGACTGCATTCAACTCACAGAGTTGAACATTCCTTTTGATAGAGCAGTTTTGAAACTCTCTTTTTCAAGCATCTGCAAATGGATAGGTGGAAGTCTGTGAAGATTTCTTTGGAAACGGGAATATCTTCACGTAAAAAGTAAACAGAAGCATTCTCAGAAACTCCTTTGTGAGGCTTGTGTTCAACTTCCCAGAGTATAACATTGCTTTTCATAGAGCAGTTTTGAAACATTCTTTTCGTAGAGTCTCCAAGTGGACATTTGGAGCGCTTTCAGGCCTGTGGTGGAAAAGGAAATATCTTCACATAAAAACTAGAGAGAAGCGTTGTCAGAAACTTCTTTGTGATGATTGCATTCAACTCACGGAGTTGAAGATTCCTTTTGATACAGCAGTTTGGAAACACTCTTTCGGTGGAATCTGCAAGCGGATATGTGGACCTCTTTGAACATTTCGATGGAAAAGGGATAATCTTCCCATAAAAGCTAAACGGAAGCATGCTCAGGAACTTCTTTGTGATGTTTGCATTCAACTCACAGAGTTGTACTTTCCTTTTGATAGAGCAGCTTTGAAACCCTCTCTTTCTAGCATCTGCAAGGGGACATTTGGAGGGCTTCGAGGCCTGGGGTGGAAAAGGAAATATCTGCTCATAAAAGCTACATGGAAGCATTCTCAGAAACTGCTTTGTGATGATTGCATTCAAGTCACGGAGTTGAACATTCCCTTTGATAGAGCCGTTTGGAAACACACTTTTGGTAGAATCTGAAAGGGGAGATTTGGACCGCTTTGAGGCCTATGGCAGCAGAGGATATAACTGCCCATAAAAACTAGACAGTAGCATTCCCAGGAAACACTTTGTGACGATTGAGTTCAACTCACAGAGCTGAACATTCCTTTGGATGGAGCAGTTTCAAAACACACTTTCTGTAGAATCTGCAAGTGGATATTTGGACCTCTCTGAGGATTTCGTTGGATACGGGAGAAAACTCACCTATCTAAACAGAAGCATTCTCAGAACCTTCTTCGTGATGCTTGCATTCAACTCACAGTGTTGAACCTTTCTCTGATAGTTCAGTTTTGAAACACTCCTTCTGCAGAATCTGCAAGTGGAGATTTGGACCTCTTTGAGGCCTATCGTCGTAAAGGAAATAACTTCATCCTAAAACAAGACAGAAGCATTCTCAGAAAATTCTTTGTGATGATTGAGTTTAACTCACAGAGCTGAGCATATCTTTTGATGGAGCACTTTCAAAACACACTTTGTGTAGAATATGCAAGTGGATATTTGTACTTCTCTGAGAATTTCGTTGGAAACGGGATAAAACTCACATAACTGAAGAGAAACCTTCCCAGAACTTCTTTGTGATGTTGGCATTCAACTGACAGAGTTGAACCTTCCCTTGTGAGTTCAGGTTGAAACGCCCTTTTCGTAGTATCTGCAAGTGGAGATTTGGAACGCTTTGAGGCCTACGGTAGTAAAGGAAACAGCTTCATGTAAAAACTGGACAGAAGCATTCTCAGAAAATACTTTGTGATGATTGAGTTTAACTCACAGAGCTGAACATGCCTTTGGGTGGAGCAGTTTGGAAACACACTTTTTGCAGAATCTGCAGGTGGATATTTGGACCTCTCTGAGGATTTCGTTGGAAACGGGATAACGTCACCTAATTAAACAGAAGCTTTCGCAGAAACATCTTTCTGACGTTTGCATTCAAAGTCCAGAGTTGAACCTTCCTTTGATAGTTCACGTTTGAAACACTCTTTTTGGAGGACCTGCAAGTGGACATTTGGAGCACTTTGTGGCCTTCGTTCGAAACAGGTATATCTTCACATAAAATCTAGACAGAAGCCTTCTCAGAAACTTCTCTGTGATGATTGCATTCAACTCACAGATTTGAACATTTCTTTTGACAGAGCAGTTTTGAAACTCTCTTTTTCTAGCATCTGCAAATGGATACGTGGAACTCTGTGAAGATTTCTTTGGAAACGGGAATATCCTCACGTAAAATGTAAACAGAAGCCTTCTCGGAAACTACTTTGGGAGGCTTGTGTTCAACTCCCAGAGTATAACATTGCTTTTCATAGAGCAGTTTTGAAACATTCTTTTCGTAGATTCTCCAAGTGGACATTTGGAGCGCTTTCAGGCCTGTGGTGGAAAAGGAAATATCTTCACATAAAAACTAGAGAGAAGCATTGTCAGAAACTTCTTTGTGATGATTGCATGGAACTCACGGAGTTGAGGATTCCTTTTGATACAGCAGTTTGGAAACACACTTTCGGTGGAATCTGCAAGCGGATATGCGGACCTCTTTGAACATTTCGATGGAAAAGGGATAATCTTTCCATAAAAGCTAAACGGAAGCATGTTCAGGATCTTCTTTTTGATGTTTGCATTCAACTCACAGAGTTGTACTTTCCTTTTGATAGAGCAGCTTTGAAACCCTCTCTTTCTGGCATCTGCAAGGGGACATTTGGAGGGCTTCGAGGCCTGGGGTGGAAAAGGAAATATCTTCTCATAAAAGCTACATGGAAGCATTCTCAGAAACTGCTTTGTGATGATTGCATTCAAGTCATAGAGTTGAACATTCCCTTTAATAGAGCCGTTTGGAAACACACTTTTGGTAGAATCTGAAAGGGGAGATTTGGACCGCTTTGAGGCCTATGACAGCAGAGGATATAACTGCCCATAAAAACTAGACAGTAGCATTCCCAGGAAACACTTTGTGACGATTGAGTTCAACTCACAGAGCTGAACATTCCTTTGGATGGAGCAGTTTCAAAACACACTTTCTGTAGAATCTGCAAGTGGATATTTGGACCTCTCTGAGGATTTCGTTGGATACGGGAGAAAACTCACCTATCTAAACAGAAGCATTCTCAGAACCTTCTTCGTGATGCTTGCATTCAACTCACAGTGTTGAACCTTTCTCTGATAGTTCAGGTTTGAAACACTCCTTCTGCAGAATCTGCAAGTGGAGATTTGGACCTCTTTGAGGCCTATCGTCGTAAAGGAAATAACTTCATCCTAAAACAAGACAGAAGCATTCTCAGAAAATTCTTTGTGATGATTGAGTTTAACTCACAGAGCTGAGCATATCTTTTGATGGAGCACTTTCAAAACACACTTTGTGTAGAATCTGCAAGTGGATATTTGTACTTCTCTGAGAATTTCGTTGGAAACGGGATAAAACTCACATAACTGAAGAGAAACATTCCCAGAACTTCTTTGTGATGTTGGCATTCAACTGACAGAGTTGAACCTTCCCTTGTGAGTTCAGGTTGAAACGCCCTTTTCGTAGTATCTGCAAGTGGAGATTTGGAACGCTTTGAGGCCTACGGTAGTAAAGGAAACAGCTTCATGTAAAAACTGGACAGAAGCATTCTCAGAAAATACTTTGTGATGATTGAGTTTAACTCACAGAGCTGAACATGCCTTTGGGTGGAGCAGTTTGGAAACACACTTTTTGCAGAATCTGCAGGTGGATATTTGGACCTCTCTGAGGATTTCGTTGGAAACGGGATAACGTCACCTAACTAAACAGAAGCTTTCGCAGAAACATCTTTCTGACGTTTGCATTCAAAGTCCAGAGTTGAACCTTCCTTTGATAGTTCACGTTTGAAACACTCTTGTTGGAGGACCTGCAAGTGGATATTTGGAGCACTTTGTGGCCTTCGTTCGAAACGGGTATATCTTCACATAAAATCTAGACAGAAGCCTTCTCAGAAACTTCTCTGTGATGACTGCATTCAACTCACAGAGTTGAACATTCCTTTTGATAGAGCAGTTTTGAAACTCTCTTTTTCTAGCATCTGCAAATGGATAGGTGGAAGTCTGTGAAGATTTCTTTGGAAACGGGAATATCTTCACGTAAAAAGTAAACAGAAGCATTCTCAGAAACTCCTTTGTGAGGCTTGTGTTCAACTCCCAGAGTATAACATTGCTTTTCATAGAGGAGTTTTGAAACATTCTTTTCGTAGAGTCTCCAAGTGGACATTTGGAGCGCTTTCAGGCCTGTGGTGGAAAAGGAAATATCTTCACATAAAAACTAGAGAGAAGCATTGTCAGAAACTTCTTTGTGATGATTGCATTCAACTCACGGAGTTGAAGATTCCTTTTGATACAGCAGTTTGGAGACACTCTTTCGGTGGAATCTGCAAGCGGATATGTGGACCTCTTTGAACATTTCGATGGAAAAGGGATAATCTTCCCATGAAAGCTAAACGGAAGCATGCTCAGGAGCTTCTTTGTGATGTTTGCATTCAACTCACAGAGTTGTACTTTCCTTTTGATAGAGCAGCTTTGAAACCCTCTCTTTCTAGCATCTGCAAGGGGACATTTGGAGGGCTTCGAGGCCTGGGGTGGAAAAGGAAATATCTGCTCCTAAAAGCTACATGGAAGCATTCTCAGAAACTGCTTTGTGATGATTGCATTCAAGTCACAGAGTTGAACATTCCCTTTGATAGAGCCGTTTGGAAACACACTTTTGGTAGAATCTGAAAGGGGAGATTTGGACCGCTTTGAGGCCTATGGCAGCAGAGGATATAACTGCCCATAAAAACTAGACAGTAGCATTCCCAGGAAACACTTTGTGACGATTGAGTTCAACTCACAGAGCTGAACATTCCTTTGGATGGAGCAGTTTCAAAACACACTTTCTGTAGAATCTGCAAGTGGATATTTGGACCTCTCTGAGGATTTCGTTGGATACGGGAGAAAACTCACCTATCTAAACAGAAGCATTCTCAGAACCTTCTTCGTGATGCTTGCATTCAACTCACAGTGTTGAACCTTTCTCTGATAGTTCAGGTTTGAAACACTCCTTCTGCAGAATCTGCAAGTCGAGATTTGGACCTCTTTGAGGCCTATCGTCGTAAAGGAAATAACTTCATCCTAAAACAGGACAGAAGCATTCTCAGAAAATTCTTTGTGATGATTGAGTTTAACTCACAGAGCTGAGCATATCTTTTGATGGAGCACTTTCAAAACACACTTTGTGTAGAATATGCAAGTGGATATTTGTACTTCTCTGAGAATTTCGTTGGAAACGGGATAAAACTCACATAACTGAAGAGAAACATTCCCAGAACTTCTTTGTGATGTTGGCATTCAACTGACAGAGTTGAACCTTCCCTTGTGAGTTCAGGTTGAAACGCCCTTTTCGTAGTATCTGCAAGTGGAGATTTGGAACGCTTTGAGGCCTACGGTAGTAAAGGAAACAGCTTCATGTAAAAACTGGACAGAAGCATTCTCAGAAAATACTTTGTGATGATTGAGTTTAACTCACAGAGCTGAACATGCCTTTGGGTGGAGCAGTTTGGAAACACACTTTTTGCAGAATCTGCAGGTGGATATTTGGACCTCTCTGAGGATTTCGTTGGAAACGGGATAACGTCACCTAACTAAACAGAAGCTTTCGCAGAAACATCTTTCTGACGTTTGCATTCAAAGTCCAGAGTTGAACCTTCCTTTGATAGTTCACGTTTGAAACACTCTTGTTGGAGGACCTGCAAGTGGATATTTGGAGCACTTTGTGGCCTTCGTTCGAAACGGGTATATCTTCACATAAAATCTAGACAGAAGCCTTCTCAGAAACTTCTCTGTGATGATTGCATTCAACTCACAGAGTTGAACATTCCTTTTGATAGAGCAGTTTTCAAACTCTCTTTTTCTAGCATCTGCAAATGGATAGGTGGAACTCTGTGAAGATTTGCTTTGGAAACGGGAATATCTTCACGTAAAAAGTAAACAGAAGCCTTCTCAGAAACTACTTTGTGAGGCTTGTGTTCAACTCCCAGAGTATAACATTGCTTTTCATAGAGCAGTTTTGAAACATTCTTTTCGTAGAGCCTCCAAGTGGACATTTGGAACGCTTTCAGGCCAGTGGTGGAAAAGGAAATATCTTCACATAAAAACTAGAGAGAGAAGCATTGTCAGAAACTTCTTTGTGATGATTGCATTCAACTCACGGAGTTGAAGATTCCTTTTGATACAGCAGTTTGGAGACACTCTTTCGGTGGAATCTGCAAGCGGATATGTGGACCTCTTTGAACATTTCGATGGAAAAGGGATAATCTTCCCATGAAAGCTAAACGGAAGCATGCTCAGGAGCTTCTTTGTGATGTTTGCATTCAACTCACAGAGTTGTACTTTCCTTTTGATAGAGCAGCTTTGAAACCCTCTCTTTCTAGCATCTGCAAGGGGACATTTGGAGGGCTTCGAGGCCTGGGGTGGAAAAGGAAATATCTTCTCCTAAAAGCTACATGGAAGCATTCTCAGAAACTGCTTTGTGATGATTGCATGCAAGTCACAGAGTTGAACATTCCCTTTGATAGAGCCGTTTGGAAACACACTTTTGGTAGAATCTGAAAGGGGAGATTTGGACCGCTTTGAGGCCTATGGCAGCAGAGGATATAACTGCCCATAAAAACTAGACAGTAGCATTCCCAGGAAACACTTTGTGACGATTGAGTTCAACTCACAGAGCTGAACATTCCTTTGGATGGAGCAGTTTCAAAACACACTTTCTGTAGAATCTGCAAGTGGATATTTGGACCTCTCTGAGGATTTCGTTGGATACGGGAGAAAACTCACCTATCTAAACAGAAGCATTCTCAGAACCTTCTTCGTGATGCTTGCATTCAACTCACAGTGTTGAACCTTTCTCTGATAGTTCAGGTTTGAAACACTCCTTCTGCAGAATCTGCAAGTGGAGATTTGGACCTCTTTGAGGCCTATCGTCGTAAAGGAAATAACTTCATCCTAAAACAAGACAGAAGCATTCTCAGAAAATTCTTTGTGATGATTGAGTTTACCTCACAGAGCTGAGCATATCTTTTGATGGAGCACTTTCAAAACACACTTTGTGTAGAATATGCAAGTGGATATTTGTACTTCTCTGAGAATTTCGTTGGAAACGGGATAAAACTCACATAACTGAAGAGAAACATTCCCAGAACTTCTTTGTGATGTTGGCATTCAACTGACAGAGTTGAACCTTCCCTTGTGAGTTCAGGTTGAAACGCCCTTTTCGTAGTATCTGCAAGTGGAGATTTGGAACGCTTTGAGGCCTACGGTAGTAAAGGAAACAGCTTCATGTAAAAACTGGACAGAAGCATTCTCAGAAAATACTTTGTGATGATTGAGTTTAACTCACAGAGCTGAACATGCCTTTGGGTGGAGCAGTTTGGAAACACACTTTTTGCAGAATCTGCAGGTGGATATTTGGACCTCTCTGAGGATTTCGTTGGAAACGGGATAACGTCACCTAACTAAACAGAAGCTTTCGCAGAAACATCTTTCTGACGTTTGCATTCAAAGTCCAGAGTTGAACCTTCCTTTGATAGTTCACGTTTGAAACACTCTTGTTGGAGGACCTGCAAGTGGATATTTGGAGCACTTTGTGGCGTTTGTTCGAAACGGGTATATCTTCACATAAAATCTAGACAGAAGCCTTCTCAGAAACTTCTCTGTGATGACTGCATTCAACTCACAGAGTTGAACATTCCTTTTGATAGAGCAGTTTTGAAACTCTCTTTTTCTAGCATCTGCAAATGGATAGGTGGAACTCTGTGAAGATTTCTTTGGAAACGGGAATATCTTCACGTAAAAAGTAAACAGAAGCATTCTCAGAAACTCCTTTGTGAGGCTTGTGTTCAACTCCCAGAGTATAACATTGCTTTTCATAGAGCAGTTTTGAAACATTCTTTTCGTAGAGTCTCCAAGTGGACATTTGGAGCGCTTTCAGGCCTGTGGTGGAAAAGGAAATATCTTCACATAAAAACTAGAGAGAAGCGTTGTCAGAAACTTCTTTGTGATGATTGCATTCAACTCACGGAGTTGAAGATTCCTTTTGATACAGCAGTTTGGAAACACTCTTTCGGTGGAATCCGCAAGCGGATATGTGGACCTCTTTGAACATTTCGATGGAAAAGGGATAATCTTCCCATAAAAGCTAAACGGAAGCATGCTCAGGAACTTTTTGTGATGTTTGCATTCAACTCACAGAGTTGTACTTTCCTTTTGATAGAGCAGCTTTGAAACCCTCTCTTTCTAGCATCTGCAAGGGGACATTTGGAGGGCTTCGAGGCCTGGGGTGGAAAAGGAAATATCTGCTCATAAAAGCTACATGGAAGCATTCTCAGAAACTGCTTTGTGATGATTGCATTCAAGTCACAGAGTTGAACATTCCCTTTGATAGAGCCGTTTGGAAACACACTTTTGGTAGAATCTGAAAGGGGAGATTTGGACCGCTTTGAGGCCTATGGCAGCAGAGGATATAACTGCCCATAAAAACTAGACAGTAGCATTCCCAGGAAACACTTTGTGACGATTGAGTTCAACTCACAGAGCTGAACATTCCTTTGGATGGAGCAGTCTGAAAACACTCTTTCTGTAGAATCTGCAAGTGGATATTTGGACCTCTCTGAGGATTTCGTTGGATACGGGAGAAAACTCACTTATCTAAACAGAAGCATTCTCAGAACCTTCTTCGTGATGCTTGCATTCAACTCACAGTGTTGAACCTTTCTCTGATAGTTCAGGTTTGAAACACTCCTTCTGCAGAATCTGCAAGTGGAGATTTGGACCTCTTTGAGGCCTATCGTCGTAAAGGAAATAACTTCATCCTAAAACAAGACAGAAACATTCTCAGAAAATTCTTTGTGATGATTGAGTTTAACTCACAGAGCTGAGCATATCTTTTGATGGAGCACTTTCAAAACACACTTTTTGTAGAATATGCAAGTGGATATTTGTACTTCTCTGAGAATTTCGTTGGAAACGGGATAAAACTCACATAACTGAAGAGAAACATTCCCAGAACTTCTTTGTGATGTTGGCATTCAACTGACAGAGTTGAACCTTCCCTTGTGAGTTCAGGTTGAAACGCCCTTTTCGTAGTATCTGCAAGTGGAGATTTGGAACGCTTTGAGGCCTACGGTTGTAAAGGAAACAGCTTCATGTAAAAACTGGACAGAAGCATTCTCAGAAAATACTTTGTGATGATTGAGTTTAACTCACAGAGCTGAACATGCCTTTGGGTGGAGTAGTTTGGAAACACACTTTTTGCAGAATCTGCAGGTGGATATTTGGACCTCTCTGAGGATTTCATTGGAAACGGGATAACGTCACCTAACTAAACAGAAGCTTTCGCAGAAACATCTTTCTGACGTTTGCATTCAAAGTCCAGAGTTGAACCTTCCTTTGATAGTTCACGTTTGAAACACTCTTGTTGGAGGACCTGCAAGTGGATATTTGGAGCACTTTGTGGCCTTTGTTCGAAACGGGTATATCTTCACATAAAATCTAGACAGAAGCCTTCTCAGAAACTTCTCTGTGATGACTGCATTCAACTCACAGAGTTGAACATTCCTTTTGATAGAGCAGTTTTGAAACTCTCTTTTTCAAGCATCTGCAAATGGATAGGTGGAAGTCTGTGAAGATTTCTTTGGAAACGGGAATATCTTCACGTAAAAAGTAAACAGAAGAATTCTCAGAAACTCCTTTGTGAGGCTTGTGTTCAACACCCAGAGTATAACATTGCTTTTCATAGAGCAGTTTTGAAACATTCTTTTCGTAGGGTCTCCAAGTGGACATTTGGAGCGCTTTCAGGCCTGTGGCGGAAAAGGAAATATCTTCACATAAAAACTAGAGAGAAGCGTTGTCAGAAACTTCTTTGTGATGATTGCATTCAACTCACGGAGTTGAAGATTCCTTTTGATACAGCAGTTTGGAAACACTCTTTCGGTGGAATCTGCAAGCGGACATGTGGACCTCTTTGAACATTTCGATGGAAAAGGGATAATCTTCCCATAAAAGCTAAACGGAAGCATGCTCAGGAACTTCTTTGTGATGTTTGCATTCAACTCACAGAGTTGTACTTTCCTTTTGATAGAGCAGCTTTGAAACCCTCTCTTTCTAGCATCTGCCAGGGGACATTTGGAGGGCTTCGAGGCCTGGGGTGGAAAAGGAAATATCTGCTCATAAAAGCTACATGGAAGCATTCTCAGAAACTGCTTTGTGATGATTGCATTCAAGTCACAGAGTTGAACATTCCCTTTGATAGAGCCGTTTGGAAACACACTTTTGGTAGAATCTGAAAGGGGAGATTTGGACCGCTTTGAGGCCTATGGCAGCAGAGGATATAACTGCCCATAAAAACTAGACAGTAGCATTCCCAGGAAACACTTTGTGACGATTGAGTTCAACTCACAGAGCTGAACATTCCTTTGGATGGAGCAGTTTCAAAACACACTTTCTGTAGAATCTGCAAGTGGATATTTGGACCTCTCTGAGGATTTCTTTGGATACGGGAGAAAACTCACCTATCTAAACAGAAGCATTCTCAGAACCTTCTTCGTGATGCTTGCATTCAACTCACAGTGTTGAACCTTTCTCTGATAGTTCAGGTTTGAAACACTCCTTCTGCAGAATCTGCAAGTGGAGATTTGGACCTCTTTGAGGCCTATCGTCGTAAAGGAAATAACTTCATCCTAAAACAAGACAGAAGCATTCTCAGAAAATTTTTGTGATGATTGAGTTTAACTCACAGAGCTGAGCATATCTTTTGATGGAGCACTTTCAAAACACACTTTTTGTAGAATATGCAAGTGGATATTTGTACTTCTCTGAGAATTTCGTTGGAAACGGGATAAAACTCACATAACTGAAGAGAAACATTCCCAGAATTTCTTTGTGATGTTGGCATTGAACTGAAAGAGTTGAACCTTCCCTTGTGAGTTCAGGTTGAAACGCTCTTTTCGTAGTATCTGCAAGTGGAGATTTGGAACGCTTTGAGGCCTACGGTAGTAAAGGAAACAGCTTCATGTAAAAACTGGACAGAAGCATTCTCAGAAAATACTTTGTGATGATTGAGTTTAACTCACAGAGCTGAACATGCCTTTGGGTGGAGCAGTTTGGAAACACACTTTTTGCAGAATCTGCAGGTGGATATTTGGACCTCTCTGAGGATTTCGTTGGAAACGGGATAACGTCACCTAACTAAACAGAAGCTTTCGCAGAAACATCTTTCTGACGTTTGCATTCAAAGTCCAGAGTTGGACCTTCCTTTGATAGTTCACGTTTGAAACACTCTTGTTGGAGGACCTGCAAGTGGATATTTGGAGCACTTTGTGGCCTTTGTTCGAAACGGGTATATCTTCACATAAAATCTAGACAGAAGCCTTCTCAGAAACTTCTCTGTGATGACTGCATTCAACTCACAGAGTTGAACATTCCTTTTGATAGAGCAGTTTTGAAACTCTCTTTTTCTAGCATCTGCAAATGGATAGGTGGAAGCCTGTGAAGATTTCTTTGGAAACGGGAATATCTTCACGTAAAAAGTAAACAGAAGCATTCTCAGAAACTCCTTTGTGAGGCTTGTGTTCAACTCCCAGAGTATAACATTGCTTTTCATAGAGCAGTTTTGAAACATTCTTTTCGTAGAGTCTCCAAGTGGACATTTGGAGCGCTTTCAGGCCTGTGGTGGAAAAGGAAATATCTTCATATAAAAACTAGAGAGAAGCGTTGTCAGAAACTTCTTTGTGATGATTGCATTCAACTCACGGAGTTGAAGATTCCTTTTGATACAGCAGTTTGGAAACGCTCTTTCGGTGGAATCTGCAAGCGGATATGTGGACCTCTTTGAACATTTCGATGGAAAAGGGATAATCTTCCCATAAAAGCTAAACGGAAGCATGCTCAGGAACTTCTTTGTGATGTTTGCATTCATCTCACAGAGTTGTACTTTCCTTTTGATAGAGCAGCTTTGAAACCCTCTCTTTCTAGCATCTGCAAGGGGACATTTGGAGGGCTTCGAGGCCTGGGGTGGAAAAGGAAATATCTGCTCATAAAAGCTACATGGAAGCATTCTCAGAAACTGCTTTGTGATGATTGCATTCAAGTCACAGAGTTGAACATTCCCTTTGATAGAGCCGTTTGGAAACACACTTTTGGTAGAATCTGAAAGGGGAGATTTGGACCGCTTTGAGGCCTATGGCAGCAGAGGATATAACTGCCCATAAAAACTAGACAGTAGCATTCCCAGGAAACACTTTGTGACGATTGAGTTCAACTCACAGAGCTGAACATTCCTTTGGATGGAGCAGTTTCAAAACACACTTTCTGTAGAATCTGCAAGTGGATATTTGGACCTCTCTGAGGATTTCGTTGGATACGGGAGAAAACTCACCTATCTAAACAGAAGCATTCTCAGAACCTTCTTCGTGATGCTTGCATTCAACTCACAGTGTTGAACCTTTCTCTGATAGTTCAGGTTTGAAACACTCCTTCTGCAGAATCTGCAAGTGGAGATTTGGACCTCTTTGAGGCCTATCGTCGTAAAGGAAATAACTTCATCCTAAAACAAGACAGAAGCATTCTCAGAAAATTCTTTGTGATGATTGAGTTTAACTCACAGAGCTGAGCATATCTTTTGATGGAGCACTTTCAAAACACACTTTTTGTAGAATATGCAAGTGGATATCTGTACTTCTCTGAGAATTTCGTTGGAAACGGGATAAAACTCACATAACTGAAGAGAAACATTCCCAGAACTTCTTTGTGATGTTGGCATTCAACTGACAGAGTTGAACCTTCCCTTGTGAGTTCAGGTTGAAACGCCCTTTTCGTAGTATCTGCAAGTGGAGATTTGGAACGCTTTGACGCCTACGGTAGTAAAGGAAACAGCTTCATGTAAAAACTGGACAGAAGCTTTCTCAGAAAATACTTTGTGATGATTGAGTTTAACTCACAGAGCTGAACATGCCTTTGGGTGGAGCAGTTTGGAAACACACTTTTTGCAGAATCTGCAGGTGGATATTTGGACCTCTCTGAGGATTTCGTTGGAAACGGGATAACGTCACCTAACTAAACAGAAGCTTTCGCAGAAACATCTTTCTGACGTTTGCATTCAAAGTCCAGAGTTGAACCTTCCTTTGATAGTTCACGTTTGAAACACTCTTGTTGGAGGACCTGCAAGTGGATATTTGGAGCACTTTGTGGCCTTCGTTCGAAACGGGTATATCTTCACATAAAATCTAGACAGAAGCCTTCTCAGAAACTTCTCTGTGATGACTGCATTCAACTCACAGAGTTGAACATTCCTTTTGATAGAGCAGTTTTGAAACTCTCTTTTTCTAGCATCTGCAAATGGATAGGTGGAAGTCTGTGAAGATTTCTTTGGAAACGGGAATATCTTCACGTAAAAAGTAAACAGAAGCATTCTCAGAAAGTCCTTTGTGAGGCTTGTGTTCAACTCCCAGAGTATAACATTGCTTTTCATAGAGGAGTTTTGAAACATTCTTTTCGTAGAGTCTCCAAGTGGACATTTGGAGCGCTTTCAGGCCTGTGGTGGAAAAGGAAATATCTTCACATAAAAACTAGAGAGAAGCATTGTCAGAAACTTCTTTGTGATGATTGCATTCAACTCACGGAGTTGAAGATTCCTTTTGATACAGCAGTTTGGAGACACTCTTTCGGTGGAATCTGCAAGCGGATATGTGGACCTCTTTGAACATTTCGATGGAAAAGGGATAATCTTCCCATGAAAGCTAAACGGAAGCATGCTCAGGAACTTCTTTGTGATGTTTGCATTCAACTCACAGAGTTGTACTTTCCTTTTGATAGAGCAGCTTTGAAACCCTCTCTTTCTAGCATCTGCAAGGGGACATTTGGAGGGCTTCGAGGCCTGGGGTGGAAAAGGAAATATCTTCTCCTAAAAGCTACATGGAAGCATTCTCAGAAACTGCTTTGTGATGATTGCATTCAAGTCACAGAGTTGAACATTCCCTTTGATAGAGCCATTTGGAAACACACTTTTGGTAGAATCTGAAAGGGGAGATTTGGACCGCTTTGAGGCCTATGGCAGCAGAGGATATAACTGCCCATAAAAACTAGACAGTTAGCATTCCCAGGAAACACTTTGTGACGATTGAGTTCAACTCACAGTAGCTGAACATTCCTTTGGATGGAGCAGTTTCCAAACACACTTTCTGTAGATTCTGCAAGTGGATATTTGGACCTCTCTGAGGATTTCGTTGGATACGGGAGAAAACTCACTTATCTAAACAGAGCATTCTCAGAACCTTCTTCGTGATGCTTGCATTCAACTCACAGTGTTGAACCTTTCTCTGATAGTTCAGGTTTGAAACACTCCTTCTGCAGAATCTGCAAGTGGAGATTTGGACCTCTTTGAGGCCTATCGTCGTAAAGGAAATAACTTCATCCTAAGACAAGACAGAAGCATTCTCAGAAAATTCTTTGTGATGATTGAGTTTAACTCACAGAGCTGAGCATATCTTTTGATGGAGCATTTTCAAAACACACTTTTTGTAGAATATGCAAGTGGATATTTGTACTTCTCTGAGAATTTCGTTGGAAACGGGATAAAACTCACATAACTGAAGAGAAACATTCCCAGAACTTCTTTGTGATGTTGGCATTCAACTGACAGAGTTGAACCTTCCCTTGTGAGTTCAGGTTGAAACGCTCTTTTCGTAGTATCTGCAAGTGGAGATTTGGAACGCTTTGAGGCCTACGGTAGTAAAGGAAACAGCTTCATGTAAAAACTGGACAGAAGCATTCTCAGAAAATACTTTGTGATGATTGAGTTTAACTCACAGAGCTGAACATGCCTTTGGGTGGAGCAGTTTGGAAACACACTTTTTGCAGAATCTGCAGGTGGATATTTGGACCTCTCTGAGGATTTCGTTGGAAACGGGATAACGTCACCTAACTAAACAGAAGCTTTCGCAGAAACATCTTTCTGACGTTTGCATTCAAAGTCCAGAGTTGAACCTTCCTTTGATAGTTCACGTTTGAAACACTCTTGTTGGAGGACCTGCAAGTGGATATTTGGAGCACTTTGTGGCGTTTGTTCGAAACGGGTATATCTTCACATAAAATCTAGACAGAAGCCTTCTCAGAAACTTCTCTGTGATGACTGCATTCAACTCACAGAGTTGAACATTCCTTTTGATAGAGCAGTTTTGAAACTCTCTTTTTCTAGCATCTGCAAATGGATAGGTGGAACTCTGTGAAGATTTCTTTGGAAACGGGAATATCTTCACGTAAAAAGTAAACAGAAGCATTCTCAGAAACTCCTTTGTGAGGCTTGTGTTCAACTCCCAGAGTATAACATTGCTTTTCATAGAGCAGTTTTGAAACATTCTTTTCGTAGAGTCTCCAAGTGGACATTTGGAGCGCTTTCAGGCCTGTGGTGGAAAAGGAAATATCTTCACATAAAAACTAGAGAGAAGCATTGTCAGAAACTTCTTTGTGATGATTGCATTCAACTCACGGAGTTGAAGATTCCTTTTGATACAGCAGTTTGGAAACACTCTTTCGGTGGAATCTGCAAGCGGATATGTGGACCTCTTTGAACATTTCGATGGAAAAGGGATAATCTTCCCATGAAAGCTAAACGGAAGCATGCTCAGGAGCTTCTTTGTGATGTTTGCATTCAACTCACAGAGTTGTACTTTCCTTTTGATAGAGCAGCTTTGAAACCCTCTCTTTCTAGCATCTGCAAGGGGACATTTGGAGGGCTTCGAGGCCTGGGGTGGAAAAGGAAATATCTTCTCCTAAAAGCTACATGGAAGCATTCTCAGAAACTGCTTTGTGATGATTGCATTCAAGTCACAGAGTTGAACATTCCCTTTGATAGAGCCGTTTGGAAACACACTTTTGGTAGAATCTGAAAGGGGAGATTTGGACCGCTTTGAGGCCTATGGCAGCAGAGGATATAACTGCCCATAAAAACTAGACAGTAGCATTCCCAGGAAACACTTTGTGACGATTGAGTTCAACTCACAGAGCTGAACATTCCTTTGGATGGAGCAGTTTCAAAACACACTTTCTGTAGAATCTGCAAGTGGATATTTGGACCTCTCTGAGGATTTCGTTGGATACGGGAGAAAACTCACCTATCTAAACAGAAGCATTCTCAGAACCTTCTTCGTGATGCTTGCATTCAACTCACAGTGTTGAACCTTTCTCTGATAGTTCAGGTTTGAAACACTCCTTCTGCAGAATCTGCAAGTGGAGATTTGGACCTCTTTGAGGCCTATCGTCGTAAAGGAAATAACTTCATCCTAAAACAAGACAGAAGCATTCTCAGAAAATTTTTGTGATGATTGAGTTTAACTCACAGAGCTGAGCATATCTTTTGATGGAGCACTTTCAAAACACACTTTTTGTAGAACATGCAAGTGGATATTTGTACTTCTCTGAGAATTTCGTTGGAAACGGGATAAAACTCACATAACTGAAGAGAAACATTCCCAGAATTTCTTTGTGATGTTGGCATTGAACTGAAAGAGTTGAACCTTCCCTTGTGAGTTCAGGTTGAAACGCTCTTTTCGTAGTATCTGCAAGTGGAGATTTGGAACGCTTTGAGGCCTACGGTAGTAAAGGAAACAGCTTCATGTAAAAACTGGACAGAAGCATTCTCAGAAAATACTTTGTGATGATTGAGTTTAACTCACAGAGCTGAACATGCCTTTGGGTGGAGCAGTTTGGAAACACACTTTTTGCAGAATCTGCAGGTGGATATTTGGACCTCTCTGAGGATTTCGTTGGAAACGGGATAACGTCACCTAACTAAACAGAAGCTTTCGCAGAAACATCTTTCTGACGTTTGCATTCAAAGTCCAGAGTTGAACCTTCCTTTGATAGTTCACGTTTGAAACACTCTTGTTGGAGGACCTGCAAGTGGATATTTGGAGCACTTTGTGGCCTTTGTTCGAAACGGCTATATCTTCACATAAAATCTAGACAGAAGCCTTCTCAGAAACTTCTCTGTGATGACTGCATTCAACTCACAGAGTTGAACATTCCTTTTGATAGAGCAGTTTTGAAACTCTCTTTTTCTAGCATCTGCAAATGGATAGGTGGAAGTCTGTGAAGATTTCTTTGGAAACGGGAATATCTTCACGTAAAAAGTAAACAGAAGCATTCTCAGAAACTCCTTTGTGAGGCTTGTGTTCAACTCCCAGAGTATAACATTGCTTTTCATAGAGCAGTTTTGAAACATTCTTTTCGTAGAGTCTCCAAGTGGACATTTGGAGCGCTTTCAGGCCTGTGGTGGAAAAGGAAATATCTTCACATAAAAACTAGAGCGAAGCGTTGTCAGAAACTTCTTTGTGATGATTGCATTCAACTCACGGAGTTGAAGATTCCTTTTGATACAGCAGTTTGGAAACACTCTTTCGGTGGAATCTGCAAGCGGATATGTGGACCTCTTTGAACATTTCGATGGAAAAGGGATAATCTTCCCATAAAAGCTAAACGGAAGCATGCTCAGGAACTTCTTTGTGATGTTTGCATTCAACTCACAGAGTTGTACTTTCCTTTTGATAGAGCATCTTTGAAACCCTCTCTTTCTAGCATCTGCAAGGGGACATTTGGAGGGCTTCGAGGCCTGGGGTGGAAAAGGAAATATCTGCTCATAAAAGCTACAGGGAAGCATTCTCAGAAACTGCTTTGTGATGATTGCATTCAAGTCACAGAGTTGAACATTCCCTTTGATAGAGCCGTTTGGAAACACACTTTTGGTAGAATCTGAAAGGGGAGATTTGGACCGCTTTGAGGCCTATGGCAGCAGAGGATATAACTGCCCATAAAAACTAGACAGTAGCATTCCCAGGAAACACTTTGTGACGATTGAGTTCAACTCACAGAGCTGAACATTCCTTTGGATGGAGCAGTTTCAAAACACACTTTCTGTAGAATCTGCAAGGGGATATTTGGACCTCTCTGAGGATTTCGTTGGATACGGGAGAAAACTCACCTATCTAAACAGAAGCATTCTCAGAACCTTCTTCGTGATGCTTGCATTCAACTCACAGTGTTGAACCTTTCTCTGATAGTTCAGGTTTGAAACACTCCTTCTGCAGAATCTGCAAGTGGAGATTTGGACCTCTTTGAGGCCTATCGTCGTAAAGGAAATAACTTCATCCTAAAACAAGACAGAAGCATTCTCAGAAAATTCTTTGTGATGATTGAGTTTAACTCACAGAGCTGAGCATATCTTTTGATGGAGCACTTTCAAAACACACTTTGTGTAGAATATGCAAGTGGATATTTGTACTTCTCTGAGAATTTCGTTGGAAACGGGATAAAACTCACATAACTGAAGAGAAACATTCCCAGAACTTCTTTGTGATGTTGGCATTCAACTGACAGAGTTGAACCTTCCCTTGTGAGTTCAGGTTGAAACGCCCTTTTCGTAGTATCTGCAAGTGGAGATTTGGAACGCTTTGAGGCCTACGGTAGTAAAGGAAACAGCTTCATGTAAAAACTGGACAGAAGCATTCTCAGAAAATACTTTGTGATGATTGAGTTTAACTCACAGAGCTGAACATGCCTTTGGGTGGAGCAGTTTGGAAACACACTTTTTGCAGAATCTGCAGGTGGATATTTGGACCTCTCTGAGGATTTCGTTGGAAACGGGATAACGTCACCTAACTAAACAGAAGCTTTCGCAGAAACATCTTTCTGACGTTTGCATTCAAAGTCCAGAGTTGAACCTTCCTTTGATAGTTCACGTTTGAAACACTCTTGTTGGAGGACCTGCAAGTGGATATTTGGAGCACTTTGTGGCCTTCGTTCGAAACGGGTATATCTTCACATAAAATCTAGACAGAAGCCTTCTCAGAAACTTCTCTGTGATGACTGCATTCAACTCACAGAGTTGAACATTCCTTTTGATAGAGCAGTTTTGAAACTCTCTTTTTCTAGCATCTGCAAATGGATAGGTGGAAGTCTGTGAAGATTTCTTTGGAAACGGGAATATCTTCACGTAAAAAGTAAACAGAAGCATTCTCAGAAACTCCTTTGTGAGGCTTGTGTTCAACTCCCAGAGTATAACATTGCTTTTCATAGAGCAGTTTTGAAACATTCTTTTCGTAGAGTCTCCAAGTGGACATTTGGAGCGCTTTCAGGCCTGTGGTGGAAAAGGAAATATTTTCACATAAAAACTATAGAGAAGCATTGTCAGAAACTTCTTTGTGATGATTGCATTCAACTCAAGGAGTTGAAGATTCCTTTTGATACAGCAGTTTGGAAACACTCTTTCGGTGGAATCTGCAAGCGGATATGTGGACCTCTTTGAACATTTCGATGGAAAAGGGATAATCTTCCCATGAAAGCTAAACGGAAGCATGCTCAGGAACTTCTTTGTGATGTTTGCATTCAACTCACAGAGTTGTACTTTCCTTTTGATAGAGCAGCTTTGAAACCCTCTCTTTCTAGCATCTGCAAGGGGACATTTGGAGGGCTTCGAGGCCTGGGGTGGAAAAGGAAATATCTGCTCATTAAAGCTACATGGAAGCATTCTCAGAAACTGCTTTGTGATGATTGCATTCAAGTCACAGAGTTGAACATTCCCTTTGATAGAGCCGTTTGGAAACACACTTTTGGTAGAATCTGAAAGGGGAGATTTGGACCGCTTTGAGGCCTATGGCAGCAGAGGATATAACTGCCCATAAAAACTAGACAGTAGCATTCCCAGGAAACACTTTGTGACGATTGAGTTCAACTCACAGAGCTGAACATTCCTTTGGATGGAGCAGTTTCAAAACACACTTTCTGTAGAATCTGCAAGTGGATATTTGGACCTCTCTGAGGATTTCGTTGGATACGGGAGAAAACTCACCTATCTAAACAGAAGCATTCTCAGAACCTTCTTCGTGATGCTTGCTTTCAACTCACAGTGTTGAACCTTTCTCTGATAGTTCAGGTTTGAAACACTCCTTCTGCAGAATCTGCAAGTGGAGATTTGGACCTCTTTGAGGCCTATCGTCGTAAAGGAAATAACTTCATCCTAAAACAAGACAGAAGCATTCTCAGAAAATTCTTTGTGATGATTGAGTTTAACTCACAGAGCTGAGCATATCTTTTGATGGAGCACTTTCAAAACACACTTTTTGTAGAATATGCAAGTGGATATTTGTACTTCTCTGAGAATTTCGTTGGAAACGGGATAAAACTCACATAACTGAAGAGAAACATTCCCAGAACTTCTTTGTGATGTTGGCATTCAACTGACAGAGTTGAACCTTCCCTTGTGAGTTCAGGTTGAAACGCTCTTTTCGTAGTATCTGCAAGTGGAGATTTGGAACGCTTTGAGGCCTACGGTAGTAAAGGAAACAGCTTCATGTAAAAACTGGACAGAAGCATTCTTAGAAAATTCTTTCTGATGATTGAATTTAACTCACAGAGCACAACATGCCTTTGGATGGAGCAGTTTTGAAACACACTTTTTGTAGAATCTGCAAGTGGATATTTGGACCTCTCTGAGGATTTCGTTGGAAACGGGATAACGTCACCTAACTAAACAGAAGCTTTCGCAGAAACTTCTTTGTGATGTTTGCATTCAAAGCCCAGAGTTGAACCTTCCTTTGATAGTTCACTTTTGAAACACTCTTTTTGAAGGATCTGCAAGTGGATATTTGGAGCACTTTGTGGCCTTCGTTCGAAACGGGTATATCTTCACATAAAATCTAGACAGAAGCCTTCTCAGAAACTTCTCTGTGATGATTGCATGCAACTCACAGAGTTGAACATTCCTTTTGATAGAGCAGTTTTGAAACTCTCTTTTTGTAGAATCCGCAAGTGGATATGTGGACCTCTGTGAAGATTTCTTTGGAAACGGGAATATCTTCACATAAAAAGTAAACCGAAGCATTCTCAGAAACTTCTTTGTGAGGCTTGTGTTCAACTCCCAGAGTTTAACATTGCTTTTCAGAGAGCAGTTTTGAAACATTCCTTTCGTAGAGTCTGCAAGTGGACATTTGGAGCGCTTTCAGGCCTGATATCTTCACATAAAATCTAGAGAGAAGCATTGTCAGAAACTTCTTTGTGATGATTGCATTTAACTCACGGAGTTGAAGATTCCTTTTGATACAGCAGTTTGGAAACACTCTTTCGGTGGAATCTGCAAGCGGATATGTGGAACCCTTTGAACATTTCGATGGAAAAGGGATAATCTTCCCATAAAAGCTAAACGGAAGCATGCTCAGGAACTTCTTTGTGATGTTTGCATTCATCTCACAGAGTTGTACTTTCCTTTTGATAGAGCAGCTTTGAAACCCTCTCTTTCTAGCATCTGCCAGGGGACATTTGGAGGGCTTCGAGGCCTGGGGTGGAAAAGGAAATATCTTCTCATAAAAGCTACATGGAAGCATTCTCAGAAACTGCTTTGTGATGATTGCATTCAAGTCACAGAGTTGAACATTCCCTTTGATAGAGCCGTTTGGAAACACACTTTTGGTAGAATCTGAAAGGGGAGATTTGGACCGCTTTGAGGCCTATGGCAGCAGAGGATATAACTGCCCATAAAAACTAGACAGTAGCATTCCCAGGAAACACTTTGTGACGATTGAGTTCAACTCACAGAGCTGAACATTCCTTTGGATGGAGCAGTTTCAAAACACACTTTCGGTAGAATCTGCAAGTGGATATTTGGACCTCTCTGAGGATTTCGTTGGATACGGGAGAAAACTCACCTATCTAAACAGAAGCATTCTCAGAACCTTCTTCGTGATGCTTGCATTCAACTCACAGTGTTGAACCTTTCTCTGATAGTTCAGGTTTGAAACACTCCTTCTGCAGAATCTGCAAGTGGAGATTTGGACCTCTTTGAGGCCTATCGTCGTAAAGGAAATAACTTCATCCTAAAACAAGACAGAAGCATTCTCAGAAAATTCTTTGTGATGATTGAGTTTAACTCACAGAGCTGAGCATATCTTTTGATGGAGCACTTTCAAAACACACTTTTTGTAGAATATGCAAGTGGATATTTGTACTTCTCTGAGAATTTCGTTGGAAACGGGATAAAACTCACATAACTGAAGAGAAACATTCCCAGAACTTCTTTGTGATGTTGGCATTCAACTGACAGAGTTGAACCTTCCCTTGTGAGTTCAGGTTGAAACGCCCTTTTCGTAGTATCTGCAAGTGGAGATTTGGAACGCTTTGAGGCCTACGGTAGTAAAGGAAACAGCTTCATGTAAAAACTGGACAGAAGCATTCTCAGAAAATACTTTGTGATGATTGAGTTTAACTCACAGAGCTGAACATGCCTTTGGGTGGAGCAGTTTGGAAACACACTTTTTGCAGAATCTGCAGGTGGATATTTGGACCTCTCTGAGGATTTCGTTGGAAACGGGATAACGTCACCTAACTAAACAGAAGGTTTCGCAGAAACATCTTTCTGACGTTTGCATTCAAAGTCCAGAGTTGAACCTTCCTTTGATAGTTCACGTTTGAAACACTCTTGTTGGAGGACCTGCAAGTGGATATTTGGAGCACTTTGTGGCCTTTGTTCGAAACGGGTATATCTTCACATAAAATCTAGACAGAAGCCTTCTCAGAAACTTCTCTGTGATGACTGCATTCAACTCACAGAGTTGAACATTCCTTTTGATAGAGCAGTTTTGAAACTCTCTTTTTCTAGCATCTGCAAATGGATAGGTGGAAGTCTGTGAAGATTTCTTTGGAAACGGGAATATCTTCACGTAAAAAGTAAACAGAAGCATTCTCAGAAACTCCTTTGTGAGGCTTGTGTTCAACTCCCAGAGTATAACATTGCTTTTCATAGAGCAGTTTTGAAACATTCTTTTCGTAGAGTCTCCAAGTGGACATTTGGAGCGCTTTCAGGCCTGTGGTGGAAAAGGAAATATCTTCACATAAAAACTAGAGAGAAGCATTGTCAGAAACTTCTTTGTGATGATTGCATTCAACTCACGGAGTTGAAGATTCCTTTTGATACAGCAGTTTGGAAACACTCTTTCGGTGGAATCTGCAAGCGGATATGTG
The DNA here is from genome assembly GCF_000001405.40 of Homo sapiens. Lineage (NCBI taxonomy): Eukaryota > Metazoa > Chordata > Mammalia > Primates > Hominidae > Homo > Homo sapiens. The sequence goes on from NC_000001.11 coordinate 122,341,873, forward strand.
GACCTCTTTGAACATTTCGATGGAAAAGGGATAATCTTCCCATGAAAGCTAAACGGAAGCATGCTCAGGAGCTTCTTTGTGATGTTTGCATTCAACTCACAGAGTTGTACTTTCCTTTTGATAGAGCAGCTTTGAAACCCTCTCTTTCTAGCATCTGCAAGGGGACATTTGGAGGGCTTCGAGGCCTGGGGTGGAAAAGGAAATATCTTCTCCTAAAAGCTACATGGAAGCATTCTCAGAAACTGCTTTGTGATGATTGCATGCAAGTCACAGAGTTGAACATTCCCTTTGATAGAGCCGTTTGGAAACACACTTTTGGTAGAATCTGAAAGGGGAGATTTGGACCGCTTTGAGGCCTATGGCAGCAGAGGATATAACTGCCCATAAAAACTAGACAGTAGCATTCCCAGGAAACACTTTGTGACGATTGAGTTCAACTCACAGAGCTGAACATTCCTTTGGATGGAGCAGTTTCAAAACACACTTTCTGTAGAATCTGCAAGTGGATATTTGGACCTCTCTGAGGATTTCGTTGGATACGGGAGAAAACTCACCTATCTAAACAGAAGCATTCTCAGAACCTTCTTCGTGATGCTTGCATTCAACTCACAGTGTTGAACCTTTCTCTGATAGTTCAGGTTTGAAACACTCCTTCTGCAGAATCTGCAAGTGGAGATTTGGACCTCTTTGAGGCCTATCGTCGTAAAGGAAATAACTTCATCCTAAAACAAGACAGAAGCATTCTCAGAAAATTCTTTGTGATGATTGAGTTTAACTCACAGAGCTGAGCATATCTTTTGATGGAGCACTTTCAAAACACACTTTTTGTAGAATATGCAAGTGGATATTTGTACTTCTCTGAGAATTTCGTTGGAAACGGGATAAAACTCACATAACTGAAGAGAAACATTCCCAGAACTTCTTTGTGATGTTGGCATTCAACTGACAGAGTTGAAACTTCCCTTGTGAGTTCAGGTTGAAACGCTCTTTTCGTAGTATCTGCAAGTGGAGATTTGGAACGCTTTGAGGCCTACGGTAGTAAAGGAAACAGCTTCATGTAAAAACTGGACAGAAGCATTCTCAGAAAATACTTTGTGATGATTGAGTTTAACTCACAGAGCTGAACATGCCTTTGGGTGGAGCAGTTTGGAAACACACTTTTTGCAGAATCTGCAGGTGGATATTTGGACCTCTCTGAGGATTTCGTTGGAAACGGGATAACGTCACCTAACTAAACAGAAGCTTTCGCAGAAACATCTTTCTGACGTTTGCATTCAAAGTCCAGAGTTGAACCTTCCTTTGATAGTTCACGTTTGAAACACTCTTGTTGGAGGACCTGCAAGTGGATATTTGGAGCACTTTGTGGCCTTCGTTCGAAACGGGTATATCTTCACAAAAAATCTAGACAGAAGACTTCTCAGAAACTTCTCTGTGATGATTGCATTCAACTCACAGAGTTGAACATTCCTTTTGATAGAGCAGTTTTGAAACTCTCTTTTTCTAGCATCTGCAAATGGATAGGGGGAACTCCTCTGTGAAGATTTCTTTGGAAACGGGAATATCATCACGTAAAAAGTAAACAGAAGCATTCTCAGAAACTCCTTTGTGAGGCTTGTGTTCAACTCCCAGAGTATAACATTGCTTTTCATAGAGCAGTTTTGAAACATTCTTTTCGTAGAGTCTCCAAGTGGACATTTGGAGCGCTTTCAGGCCTGTGGTGGAAAAGGAAATATCTTCACATAAAAACTAGAGAGAAGCATTGTCAGAAACTTCTTTGTGATGATTGCATTCAACTCACGGAGTTGAAGATTCCTTTCGATACAGCAGTTTGGAAACACGCTTTCGGTGGAATCTGCAAGCGTATATGTGGACCTCTTTGAACATTTCGATGGAAAAGGGATAATCTTCCCATAAAAGCTAAACGGAAGCATGCTCAAGAACTTCTTTGTGATGTTTGCATTCAACTCACAGAGTTGTACTTTCCTTTTGATAGAGCAGCTTTGAAACCCTCATTTTCTAGGATCTGCAAGGGGACATTTGGAGGGCTTCCAGGCCTGGGGTGGAAAAGGAAATATCTGCTCATAAAAGCTACATGGAAGCATTCTCAGAAACTGCTTTGTGATGATTGCATTCAAGTCACAGAGTTGAACATTCCCTTTGATAGAGCCGTTTGGAAACACACTTTTGGTAGAATCTGAAAGGGGAGATTTGGACCGCTTTGAGGCCTATGGCAGCAGAGGATATAACTGCACATAAAAACTAGACAGTAGCATTCCCAGGAAACACTTTGTGACGACTGAGTTCAACTCACAGAGCTGAACATTCCTTTGGATGGAGCAGTTTCAAAACACACTTTCTGTAGAATCTGCAAGTGGATATTTGGACCTCTCTGAGGATTTCGTTGGATACGGGAGAAAACTCACCTATCTAAACAGAAGCATTCTCAGAACCTTCTTCGTGATGCTTGCATTCAACTCACAGTGTTGAACCTTTCTCTGATAGTTCAGGTTTGAAACACTCCTTCTGCAGAATCTGCAAGTGGAGATTTGGACCTCTTTGAGGCCTATCGTCGTAAAGGAAATAACTTCATCCTAAAACAAGACAGAAGCATTCTCAGAAAATTCTTTGTGATGATTGAGTTTAACTCACAGAGCTGAGCATATCTTTTGATGGAGCACTTTCAAAACACACTTTGTGTAGAATATGCAAGTGGATATTTGTACTTCTCTGAGAATTTCGTTGGAAACGGGATAAAACTCACATAACTGAAGAGAAACATTCCCAGAACTTCTTTGTGATGTTGGCATTCAACTGACAGAGTTGAACCTTCCCTTGTGAGTTCAGGTTGAAACGCTCTTTTCGTAGTATCTGCAAGTGGAGATTTGGAACGCTTTGAGGCCTACGGTAGTAAAGGAGACAGCTTCATGTAAAAACTGGACAGAAGCATTCTCAGAAAATACTTTGTGATGATTGAGTTTAACTCACAGAGCTGAACATGCCTTTGGGTGGAGCAGTTTGGAAACACACTTTTTGCAGAATCTGCAGGTGGATATTTGGACCTCTCTGAGGATTTCGTTGGAAACGGGATAACGTCACCTAACTAAACAGAAGCTTTCGCAGAAACATCTTTCTGACGTTTGCATTCAAAGTCCAGAGTTGAACCTTCCTTTGATAGTTCTCGTTTGAAACACTCTTGTTGGAGGACATGCAAGTGCATATTTGGAGCACTTTGTGGCCTTCGTTCGAAACGGGTATATCTTCACATAAAATCTACACAGAAGCCTTCTCAGAAACTTCTCTGTGATGACTGCATTCAACTCACAGAGTTGAACATTCCTTTTGATAGAGCAGTTTTGCAACTCTCTTTTTCTAGCATCTGCAAATGGATAGGTGGAACTCTGTGAAGATTTCTTAGGAAACGGGAATGTCTTCACGTAAAAAGTAAACAGAAGCATTCTCAGAAACTCGTTTGTGAGGCTTGTGTTCAACCCCCAGAGTATAACATTGCTTTTCATAGAGCAGTTTTGAAACATTCTTTTCGTAGATTCTCCAAGTGGACATTTGGAGCGCTTTCAGGCCTGTGGTGGAAAAGGAAATATCTTCACATAAAAACTAGAGAGAAGCATTGTCAGAAACTTCTTTGTGATGATTGCATTCAACTCACGGAGTTGAAGATTCCTTTCGATACAGCAATTTGGAAACCCTCTTTCGGTGGAATCTGCAAGCGGATATGTGGACCTCTTTGAATATTTCGATGGAAAAGGGATAATCTTCCCATAAAAGCTAAACGGAAGCATGCTCAGGAACTTCTTTGTGATGTTTGCATTCAACTCACAGAGTTGTACTTTCCTTTTGATAGAGCATCTTTGAAACCCTCTCTTTCTAGCATCTGCAAGGGGACATTTGGAGGGCTTCGAGGCCTGGGGTGGAAAAGGAAATATCTGCTCATAAAAGCTACAGGGAAGCATTCTCAGAAACTGCTTTGTGATGATTGCATTCAAGTCACAGAGTTGAACATTCCCTTTGATAGAGCCGTTTGGAAACACACTTTTGGTAGAATCTGAAAGGGGAGATTTGGACCGCTTTGAGGCCTATGGCAGCAGAGGATATAACTGCCCATAAAAACTAGACAGTAGCATTCCCAGGAAACACTTTGTGACGATTGAGTTCAACTCACAGAGCTGAACATTCCTTTGGATGGAGCAGTTTCAAAACACACTTTCTGTAGAATCTGCAAGTGGATATTTGGACCTCTCTGAGGATTTCGTTGGATACGGGAGAAAACTCACCTATCTAAACAGAAGCATTCTCAGAACCTTCTTCGTGATGCTTGCATTCAACTCACAGTGTTGAACCTTTCTCTGATAGTTCAGGTTTGAAACACTCCTTCTGCAGAATCTGCAAGTGGAGATTTGGACCTCTTTGAGGCCTATCGTCGTAAAGGAAATAACTTCATCCTAAAACAAGACAGAAGCATTCTCAGAAAATTCTTTGTGATGATTGAGTTTAACTCACAGAGCTGAGCATATCTTTTGATGGAGCACTTTCAAAACACACTTTTTGTAGAATATGCAAGTGGATATTTGTACTTCTCTGAGAATTTCGTTGGAAACGGGATAAAACTCACATAACTGAAGAGAAACATTCCCAGAACTTCTTTGTGATGTTGGCATTCAACTGACAGAGTTGAACCTTCCCTTGTGAGTTCAGGTTGAAACGCCCTTTTCGTAGTATCTGCAAGTGGAGATTTGGAACGCTTTGAGGCCTACGGTAGTAAAGGAAACAGCTTCATGTAAAAACTGGACAGAAGCATTCTCAGAAAATACTTTGTGATGATTGAGTGTAACTCACAGAGCTGAACATTCCTTTGGATGGAGCAGTTTTGAAACACACTTTTTGTAGCATCTGCAAGTGGATATTTGGACCTCTCTGAGGATTTCGTTGGAAACGGGATAACGTCACCTAACTAAACAGAAGCTTTCGCAGAAACTTCTTTGGGACATTTGCATTCAAAGTCCAGAGTTGAACCTTCCTTCGATAGCTCACGTTTGAAACACTCTTTTTGTAGGATCTGCAAGTGGATATTTGGAGCACTTTGTGGCCTTCGTTCGAAACGGGTATATCTTCACATAAAATCCAGACAGAAGCCTTCTCAGTAACCTCTCTGTGATGATTGCATTCAACTCAGAGAGTTGAACATTCCTTTGGATAGAGCAGTTTCGAAACTCTGTTTCTCTAGAATCTGCCCATGGATAGGTGGAACTCTGTGAAGATTTCTTTGGAAACGGGAATATCTTCACATAAAGAGTAAACAGAAGCATTCTCAGAAACTCCTTTGTGAGGCTTGTGTTCAACTCCCAGAGTATAACATTGCTTTTCATAGAGCAGTTTTGAAACATTCTTTTCGTAGAGTCTCCAAGTGGACATTTGGAGCGCTTTCAGGCCTGTGGTGGAAAAGGAAATATCTTCACATAAAAACTAGAGAGAAGCATTGTCAGAAACTTCTTTGTGATGATTGCATTCAACTCACGGAGTTGAAGATTCCTTTTGATACAGCAGTTTGGAAACACTCTTTCGGTGGAATCTGCAAGCGGATATGTGGAACCCTTTGAACATTTCGATGGAAAAGGGATAATCTTCCCATAAAAGCTAAACGGAAGCATGCTCAGGAGCTTCTTTGTGATGTTTGCATTCAACTCACAGAGTTGTACTTTCCTTTTGATAGAGCAGCTTTGAAACCCTCTCTTTCTAGCATCTGCAAGGGGACATTTGGAGGGCTTCGAGGCCTGGGGTGGAAAAGGAAATATCTTCTCCTAAAAGCTACATGGAAGCATTCTCAGAAACTGCTTTGTGATGATTGCATTCAAGTCACAGAGTTGAACATTCCCTTTGATAGAGCCGTTTGGAAACACACTTTTGGTAGAATCTGAAAGGGGAGATTTGGACCGCTTTGAGGCCTATGGCAGCAGAGGATGTAACTGCCCATAAAAACTAGACAGTAGCATTCCCAGGAAACACTTTGTGACGATTGAGTTCAACTCACAGAGCTGAACATTCCTTTGGATGGAGCAGTTTCAAAACACACTTTCTGTAGAATCTGCAAGTGGATATTTGGACCTCTCTGAGGATTTCGTTGGATACGGGAGAAAACTCACCTATCTAAACAGAAGCATTCTCAGAACCTTCTTCGTGATGCTTGCATTCAACTCACAGTGTTGAACCTTTGTCTGATAGTTCAGGTTTGAAACACTCCTTCTGCAGAATCTGCAAGTGGAGATTTGGACCTCTTTGAGGCCTATCGTCGTAAAGGAAATAACTTCATCCTAAAACAAGACAGAAGCATTCTCAGAAAATTCTTTGTGATGATTGAGTTTAACTCACAGAGCTGAGCATATCTTTTGATGGAGCACTTTCAAAACACACTTTTTGTAGAATATGCAAGTGGATATTTGTACTTCTCTGAGAATTTCGTTGGAAACGGGATAAAACTCACATAACTGAAGAGAAACATTCCCAGAAATTCTTTGTGATGTTGACATTCAACTGACAGAGTTGAACCTTCCCTTGTGAGTTCAGGTTGAAACGCTCTTTTCGTAGTATCTGCAAGTGGAGATTTGGAACGCTTTGAGGCATACGGTAGTAAAGGAAACAGCTTCATGTAAAAACTGGACAGAAGCATTCTCAGAAAATGCTTTGTGATGATTGAGTTTAACTCACACAGCTGAACATGCCTTTGGGTGGAGCAGTTTGGAAACACACTTTTTGCAGAATCTGCAGGTGGATATTTGGACCTGTCTGAGGATTTCGTTGGAAACGGGATAACGTCACCTAACTAAACAGAAGCTTTCGCAGAAACATCTTTCTGACTTTTGCATTCAAAGTCCAGAGTTGAACCTTCCTTTGATAGTTCACGTTTGAAATACTCTTGTTGGAGGACCTGCAAGTGGATATTTGGAGCACTTTGTGGCCTTCGTTCGAAACGGGTATATCTTCACATAAAATCTAGCCTTCTCACAAACTCCTCTGTGATGATTGCACGCAACTCACAGAGTTGAACATTCCTTTTGATAGAGCAGTTTTGAAACTCTCTAGTTTTGCTGGCATCTGCAAATGGATAGGTGGAACTCTGTGAAGATTTCTTTGGAAACGGGAATATCCTCACGTAAAAAGTAAACAGAAGCATTCTGAGAAACTCCTTTGTGAGGCTTGTGTTCATCTCCCAGAGTATAACATTGCTTTTCATAGAGCAGTTTTGAAACATTCTTTTCGTAGAGTCTCCAAGTGGACATTTGGAGCGCTTTCAGGCCTGTGGTGGAAAAGGAAATATCTTCACATAAAAACTAGAGAGAAGCATTGTCAGAAACTTCTTTGTGATGATTGCATTCAACTCACGGAGTTGAAGATTCCTTTCGATACAGCAGGTTGGAAACACGCTTTCGGTGGAATCTGCAAGCGGATATGTGGACCTCTTTGAACATTTCGATGGAAAAGGGATAATCTTCCCATAAAAGCTAAACGGAAGCATGCTCAGGAACTTCTTTGTGATGTTTTCATTCAACTCACAGAGTTGTACTTTCCTTTTGATAGAGCAGCTTTGAAACCCTCTCTTTCTAGCATCTGCAAGGGGACATTTGGAGGGCTTCGAGGCCTGGGGTGGAAAAGGAAATATCTGCTCATAAAAGCTACATGGAAGCATTCTCAGAAACTGCTTTGTGATGATTGCATTCAAGTCACAGACTTGAACATTCCCTTTGATAGAGCCGTTTGGAAACACACTTTTGGGAGAATCTGAAAGGGGAGATTTGGACCGCTTTGAGGCCTATGGCAGCAGAGGATATAACTGCACATAAAAACTAGACAGTAGCATTCCCAGGAAACACTTTGTGACGATTGAGTTCAACTCACAGAGCTGAACATTCCTTTGGATGGAGCAGTTTCAAAACACACTTTCTGTAGAATCTGCAAGGGGATATTTGGACCTCTCTGAGGATTTCGTTGGATACGGGAGAAAACTCACCTATCTAAACAGAAGCATTCTCAGAACCTTCTTCGTGATGCTTGCATTCAACTCACAGTGTTGAACCTTTCTCTGATAGTTCAGGTTTGAAACACTCCTTCTGCAGAATCTGCAAGTGGAGATTTGGACCTCTTTGAGGCCTATCGTCGTAAAGGAAATAACTTCATCCTAAAACAAGACAGAAGCATTCTCAGAAAATTCTTTGTGATGATTGAGTTTAACTCACAGAGCTGAGCATATCTTTTGATGGAGCACTTTCAAAACACACTTTGTGTAGAATATGCAAGTGGATATTTGTACTTCTCTGAGAATTTCGTTGGAAACGGGATAAAACTCACATAACTGAAGAGAAACATTCCCAGAACTTCTTTGTGATGTTGGCATTCAACTGACAGAGTTGAACCTTCCCTTGTGAGTTCAGGTTGAAACGCCCTTTTCGTAGTATCTGCAAGTGGAGATTTGGAACGCTTTGAGGCCTACGGTAGTAAAGGAAACAGCTTCATGTAAAAACTGGACAGAAGCATTCTCAGAAAATACTTTGTGATGATTGAGTTTAACTCACAGAGCTGAACATGCCTTTGGGTGCAGCAGTTTGGAAACACACTTTTTGCAGAATCTGCAGGTGGATATTTGGACCTCTCTGAGGATTTCCTTGGAAACGGGATAACGTCACCTAACTAAACAGAAGCTTTCGCAGAAACATCTTTCTGACGTTTGCATTCAAAGTCCAGAGTTGAACCTTCCTTTGATAGTTCACGTTTGAAACACTCTTGTTGGAGGACCTGCAAGTGGATATTTGGAGCACTTTGTGGCCTTCGTTCGAAACGGGTATATCTTCACATAAAATCTAGACAGAAGCCTTCTCAGAAACTTCTCTGTGATGACTGCATTCAACTCACAGAGTTGAACATTCCTTTTGATAGAGCAGTTTTGAAACTCTCTTTTTCTAGCATCTGCAAATGGATAGGTGGAAGTCTGTGAAGATTTCTTTGGAAACGGGAATATCTTCACGTAAAAAGTAAACAGAAGCATTCTCAGAAACTCCTTTGTGAGGCTTGTGTTCAACTCCCAGAGTATAACATTGCTTTTCATAGAGCAGTTTTGAAACATTCTTTTCGTAGAGTCTCCAAGTGGACATTTGGAGCGCTTTCAGGCCTGTGGTGGAAAAGGAAATATCTTCACATAAAAACTAGAGAGAAGCGTTGTCAGAAACTTCTTTGTGATGATTGCATTCAACTCACGGAGTTGAAGATTCCTTTTGATACAGCAGTTTGGAAACACTCTTTCGGTGGAATCTGCAAGCGGATATGTGGACCTCTTTGAACATTTCGATGGAAAAGGGATAATCTTCCCATAAAAGCTAAACGGAAGCATGCTCAGGAGCTTCTTTGTGATGTTTGCATTCAACTCACAGAGTTGTACTTTCCTTTTGATAGAGCAGCTTTGAAACCCTCTCTTTCTAGCATCTGCAAGGGGACATTTGGAGGGCTTCGAGGCCTGGGGTGGAAAAGGAAATATCTGCTCATTAAAGCTACATGGAAGCATTATCAGAAACTGCTTTGTGATGATTGCATTCAAGTCACAGAGTTGAACATTCCCTTTGATAGAGCCGTTTGGAAACACACTTTTGGTAGAATCTGAAAGGGGAGATTTGGACCGCTTTGAGGCCTATGGCAGCAGAGGATATAACTGCCCATAAAACTAGACAGTAGCATTCTCAGGAAACACTTTGTGACGATTGAGTTCAACTCACAGAGCTGAACATTCCTTTGGATGGAGCAGTTTCAAAACACACTTTCTGTAGAATCTGCAAGTGGATATTTGGACCTCTCTGAGGATTTCGTTGGATACGGGAGAAAACTCACCTATCTAAACAGAAGCATTCTCAGAACCTTCTTCGTGATGCTTGCATTCAACTCACAGTGTTCAACCTTTCTCTGATAGTTCAGGTTTTAAACACTCCTTCTGCAGAATCTGCAAGTGGAGATTTGGACCTCTTTGAGGCCTATCGTAGTAAAGGATATAACCTCATCTAAAAACAAGACAGAAGCATTCTCAGAAAATTCTTTGTGATGATTGAGTTTAACACACAGAGCTGAGCATATCTTTTGATGGAGCATTTTGAAAACACACTTTTTGTAGAATATCCAAGTGGATATTTGGACTTCTCTGAGAATTTCGTGGGAAACGGGATAAACCTCACATAACTGAAGAGAAACATTCTCAGAACTTCTTTGTGATGTTGGCATTCAACTGACAGAGTTGAACCTTCCCTTGTGAGTTCAGGTTTAATCGCTCTTTTCGTAGTATCTGCAAGTGGAGATTTGGAACCCTTTGAGGCCTACGGTAGTAAAGGAAACAGCTTCATGTAAAAACTGGACAGAAGCATTCTCAGAAAATACTTTGTGATGATTGAGTTTAACTCACAGAGCTGAACATGCCTTTGGGTGGAGCAGTTTGGAAACACACTTTTTGCAGAATCTGCAGGTGGATATTTGGACCTCTCTGAGGATTTCGTTGGAAACGGGATAACGTCACCTAACTATACAGAAGCTTTCGCAGAAACATCTTTCTGACGTTTGCATTCAAAGTCCAGAGTTGAACCTTCCTTTGATAGTTCACGTTTGAAACACTCTTGTTGGAGGACCTGCAAGTGGATATTTGGAGCACTTTGTGGCCTTCGTTCGAAACGGGTATATCTTCACATAAAATCTAGACAGAAGCCTTCTCAGAAACTTCTCTGTGATGACTGCATTCAACTCACAGAGTTGAACATTCCTTTTGATAGAGCAGTTTTGAAACTGTCTTTTTCTAGCATCTGCAAATGGATAGGTGGAAGTCTGTGAAGATTTCTTTGGAAACGGGAATATCTTCACGTAAAAAGTAAACAGAAGCATTCTCAGAAAGTCCTTTGTGAGGCTTGTGTTCAACTCCCAGAGTATAACATTGCTTTTCATAGAGCAGTTTTGAAACATTCTTTTCGTAGAGTCTCCAAGTGGACATTTGGAGCGCTTTCAGGCCTGTGGTGGAAAAGGAAATATCTTCACATAAAAACTAGAGAGAAGCATTGTCAGAAACTTCTTTGTGATGATTGCATTCAACTCACGGAGTTGAAGATTCCTTTTGATACAGCAGTTTGGAAACACTCTTTCGGTGGAATCTGCAAGCGGATATGTGGACCTCTTTGAACATTTCGATGGAAAAGGGATAATCTTCCCATGAAAGCTAAACGGAAGCATGCTCAGGAGCTTCTTTGTGATGTTTGCATTCAACTCACAGAGTTGTACTTTCCTTTTGATAGAGCAGCTTTGAAACCCTCTCTTTCTAGCATCTGCAAGGGGACATTTGGAGGGCTTCGAGGCCTGGGGTGGAAAAGGAAATATCTTCTCCTAAAAGCTACATGGAAGCATTCTCAGAAACTGATTTGTGATGATTGCATTCAAGTCACAGAGTTGAACATTCCCTTTGATAGAGCCGTTTGGAAACACACTTTTGGTAGAATCTGAAAGGGGAGATTTGGACCGCTTTGAGGCCTATGGCAGCAGAGGATATAACTGCCCATAAAAACTAGACAGTAGCATTCCCAGGAAACACTTTGTGACGATTGAGTTCAACTCACAGAGCTGAACATTCCTTTGGATGGAGCAGTTTCAAAACACACTTTCTGTAGAATCTGCAAGTGGATATTTGGACCTCTCTGAGGATTTCGTTGGATACGGGAGAAAACTCACCTATCTAAACAGAAGCATTCTCAGAACCTTCTTCGTGATGCTTGCATTCAACTCACAGTGTTGAACCTTTCTCTGATAGTTCAGGTTTGAAACACTCCTTCTGCAGAATCTGCAAGTGGAGATTTGGACCTCTTTGAGGCCTATCGTCGTAAAGGAAATAACTTCATCCTAAAACAAGACAGAAGCATTCTCAGAAAATTCTTTGTGATGATTGAGTTTAACTCACAGAGCTGAGCATATCTTTTGATGGAGCACTTTCAAAACACACTTTGTGTAGAATATGCAAGTGGATATTTGTACTTCTCTGAGAATTTCGTTGGAAACGGGATAAAACTCACATAACTGAAGAGAAACATTCCCAGAACTTCTTTGTGATGTTGGCATTCAACTGACAGAGTTGAACCTTCCCTTGTGAGTTCAGGTTGAAACGCCCTTTTCGTAGTATCTGCAAGTGGAGATTTGGAACGCTTTGAGGCCTACGGTAGTAAAGGAAACAGCTTCATGTAAAAACTGGACAGAAGCATTCTCAGAAAATACTTTGTGATGATTGAGTTTAACTCACAGAGCTGAACATGCCTTTGGGTGGAGCAGTTTGGAAACACACTTTTTGCAGAATCTGCAGGTGGATATTTGGACCTCTCTGAGGATTTCCTTGGAAACGGGATAACGTCACCTAACTAAACAGAAGCTTTCGCAGAAACATCTTTCTGACGTTTGCATTCAAAGTCCAGAGTTGAACCTTCCTTTGATAGTTCACGTTTGAAACACTCTTGTTGGAGGACCTGCAAGTGGATATTTGGAGCACTTTGTGGCCTTCGTTCGAAACGGGTATATCTTCACATAAAATCTAGACAGAAGCCTTCTCAGAAACTTCTCTGTGATGACTGCATTCAACTCACAGAGTTGAACATTCCTTTTGATAGAGCAGTTTTGAAACTCTCTTTTTCTAGCATCTGCAAATGGATAGGTGGAAGTCTGTGAAGATTTCTTTGGAAACGGGAATATCTTCACGTAAAAAGTAAACAGAAGCATTCTCAGAAACTCCTTTGTGAGGCTTGTGTTCAACTCCCAGAGTATAACATTGCTTTTCATAGAGCAGTTTTGAAACATTCTTTTCGTAGAGTCTCCAAGTGGACATTTGGAGCGCTTTCAGGCCTGTGGTGGAAAAGGAAATATCTTCACATAAAAACTAGAGAGAAGCATTGTCAGAAACTTCTTTGTGATGATTGCATTCAACTCACGGAGTTGAAGATTCCTTTTGATACAGCAGTTTGGAAACACTCTTTCGGTGGAATCTGCAAGCGGATATGTGGACCTCTTTGAACATTTCGATGGAAAAGGGATAATCTTCCCATGAAAGCTAAACGGAAGCATGCTCAGGAACTTCTTTGTGATGTTTGCATTCAACTCACAGAGTTGTACTTTCCTTTTGATAGAGCAGCTTTGAAACCCTCTCTTTCTAGCATCTGCCAGGGGACATTTGGAGAGCTTCGAGGCCTGGGGTGGAAAAGGAAATATCTGCTCATAAAAGCTACATGGAAGCATTCTCAGAAACTGCTTTGTGATGATTGCATTCAAGTCACAGAGTTGAACATTCCCTTTGATAGAGCCGTTTGGAAACACACTTTTGGTAGAATCTGAAAGGGGAGATTTGGACCGCTTTGAGGCCTATGGCAGCAGAGGATATAACTGCCCATAAAAACTAGACAGTAGCATTCCCAGGAAACACTTTGTGACGATTGAGTTCAACTCACAGAGCTGAACATTCCTTTGGATGGAGCAGTTTCAAAACACACTTTCTGTAGAATCTGCAAGTGGATATTTGGACCTCTCTGAGGATTTCGTTGGATACGGGAGAAAACTCACCTATCTAAACAGAAGCATTCTCAGAACCTTCTTCGTGATGCTTGCATTCAACTCACAGTGTTGAACCTTTCTCTGATAGTTCAGGTTTGAAACACTCCTTCTGCAGAATCTGCAAGTGGAGATTTGGACCTCTTTGAGGCCTATCGTCGTAAAGGAAATAACTTCATCCTAAAACAAGACAGAAGCATTCTCAGAAAATTCTTTGTGATGATTGAGTTTAACTCACAGAGCTGAGCATATCTTTTGATGGAGCACTTTCAAAACACACTTTTTGTAGAATATGCAAGTGGATATTTGTACTTCTCTGAGAATTTCGTTGGAAACGGGATAAAACTCACATAACTGAAGAGAAACATTCCCAGAACTTCTTTGTGATGTTGGCATTCAACTGACAGAGTTGAACCTTCCCTTGTGAGTTCAGGTTGAAACGCCCTTTTCGTAGTATCTGCAAGTGGAGATTTGGAACGCTTTGAGGCCTACGGTAGTAAAGGAAACAGCTTCATGTAAAAACTGGACAGAAGCATTCTCAGAAAATACTTTGTGATGATTGAGTTTAACTCACAGAGCTGAACATTCCTTTGGGTGGAGCAGTTTGGAAACACACTTTTTGCAGAATCTGCAGGTGGATATTTGGACCTCTCTGAGGATTTCGTTGGAAACGGGATAACGTCACCTAACTAAACAGAAGCTTTCGCAGAAACATCTTTCTGACGTTTGCATTCAAAGTCCAGAGTTGAACCTTCCTTTGATAGTTCACGTTTGAAACACTCTTGTTGGAGGACCTGCAAGTGGATATTTGGAGCATTTTGCGGTCTTCGTTCGAAACGGGTATATCTTCACAAAAAATCTAGACAGAAGCCTTCTCAGAAACTTCTCTGTGATGACTGCATTCAAATCACAGAGTTGAGAATTCCTTTTGATAGAGCAGTTTTGAAACTCTCTTTTTCTAGCATCTGCAAATGGATAGGTGGAACTCTGTGAAGATTTCTTTGGAAACGGGAATATCTTCACGTAAAAAGTAAACAGAAGCATTCTGAGAAACTCCTTTGTGAGGCTTGTGTTCATCTCCCAGAGTATAACATTGCTTTTCATAGAGCAGTTTTGAAACATTCTTTTTGTAGAGTCTCCAAGTGTACATTTGGAGCGCTTTCCGGCCTGTGGTGGAAAAGGAAATATCTTCACATAAAAAGTAGAGAGAAGCATTGTCAGAAACTTCTTTGTGATGATTGCATTCAACTCACGGAGTTGAAGATTCCTGTTGATACAGCAGTTTGGAAACACTCTTTCGGTGGAATCTGCAAGCGGATATGTGGACCTCTTTGAACATTTCGATGGAAAAGGGATAATCTTCCCATAAAAGCTAAACGGAAGCATGCTCAGGAACTTCTTTGTGATGTTTGCATTGAACTCACAGAGTTGTACTTTAATTTGATAGAGCAGCTTTGAAACCCTCTCTTTCTAGCAACTGCAAGGGGACATTTGTAGGGCTTCGAGGCCTGGGGTGGAAAAGGAAATATCTGCTCATAAAAGCTACATGGAAGCATTCTCAGAAACTGCTTTGTGATGATTGCATTCAAGTCACAGAGTTGAACATTCCCTTTGATAGAGCCGTTTGGAAACACACTTTTGGCAGAATCTGAAAGGGGAGATTTGGACCGCTTTGAGGCCTATGGCAGCAGAGGATATAACTGCACATAAAAACTAGACAGTAGCATTCCCAGGAAACACTTTGTGACGATTGAGTTCAACTCACAGAGCTGAACATTCCTTTGGATGGAGCAGTTTCAAAACACACTTTCTGTAGAATCTGCAAGTGGATATTTGGACCTCTCTGAGGATTTCGTTGGATACGGGAGAAAACTCACCTATCTAAACAGAAGCATTCTCAGAACCTTCTTCGTGATGCTTGCATTCAACTCACAGTGTTGAACCTTTCTCTGATAGTTCAGGTTTGAAACACTCCTTCTGCAGAATCTGCAAGTGGAGATTTGGACCTCTTTGAGGCCTATCGTCGTAAAGGAAATAACTTCATCCTAAAACAAGACAGAAGCATTCTCAGAAAATTCTTTGTGATGATTGAGTTTAACTCACAGAGCTGAGCATATCTTTTGATGGAGCACTTTCAAAACACACTTTGTGTAGAATATGCAAGTGGATATTTGTACTTCTCTGAGAATTTCGTTGGAAACGGGATAAAACTCACATAACTGAAGAGAAACATTCCCAGAACTTCTTTGTGATGTTGGCATTCAACTGACAGAGTTGAACCTTCCCTTGTGAGTTCAGGTTGAAACGCTCTTTTCGTAGTATCTGCAAGTGGAGATTTGGAACGCTTTGAGGCCTACGGTAGTAAAGGAAACAGCTTCATGTAAAAACTGGACAGAAGCATTCTCAGAAAATACTTTGTGATGATTGAGTTTAACTCACAGAGCTGAACATGCCTTTGGGTGGAGCAGTTTGGAAACACACTTTTTGCAGAATCTGCAGGTGGATATTTGGACCTCTCTGAGGATTTCGTTGGAAACGGGATAACGTCACCTAACTAAACAGAAGCTTTCGCAGAAACATCTTTCTGACGTTTGCATTCAAAGTCCAGAGTTGAACCTTCCTTTGATAGTTCACGTTTGAAACACTCTTGTTGGAGGACCTGCAAGTGGATATTTGGAGCACTTTGTGGCCTTCGTTCGAAACGGGTATATCTTCACAAAAAATCTAGACAGAAGCCTTCTCAGAAACTTCTCTGTGATGACTGCATTCAACTCACAGAGTTGAACATTCCTTTTGATAGAGCAGTTTTGAAACTCTCTTTTTCTAGCATCTGCAAATGGATAGGTGGAAGTCTGTGAAGATTTCTTTGGAAACGGGAATATCTTCACGTAAAAAGTAAACAGAAGCATTCTCAGAAACTCCTTTGTGAGGCTTGTGTTCAACTCCCAGAGTATAACATTGCTTTTCATAGAGCAGTTTTGAAACATTCTTTTCGTAGAGTCTCCAAGTGGACATTTGGAGAGCTTTCAGGCCTGTGGTGGAAAAGGAAATATCTTCACATAAAAACTAGAGAGAAGCATTGTCAGAAACTTCTTTGTGATGATTGCATTCAACTCACGGAGTTGAAGATTCCTTTTGATACAGCAGTTTGGAAACACTCTTTCGGTGGAATCTGCAAGCGGATATGTGGACCTCTTTGAACATTTCGATGGAAAAGGGATAATCTTCCCATGAAAGCTAAACGGAAGCATGCTCAGGAGCTTCTTTGTGATGTTTGCATTCAACTCACAGAGTTGTACTTTCCTTTTGATAGAGCAGCTTTGAAACCCTCTCTTTCTAGCATCTGCAAGGGGACATTTGGAGGGCTTCAAGGCCTGGGGTGGAAAAGGAAATATCTTCTCCTAAAAGCTACATGGAAGCATTCTCAGAAACTGCTTTGTGATGATTGCATGCAAGTCACAGAGTTGAACATTCCCTTTGATAGAGCCGTTTGGAAACACACTTTTGGTAGAATCTGAAAGGGGAGATTTGGACCGCTTTGAGGCCTATGGCAGCAGAGGATATAACTGCCCATAAAAACTAGACAGTAGCATTCCCAGGAAACACTTTGTGACGATTGAGTTCAACTCACAGAGCTGAACATTCCTTTGGATGGAGCAGTTTCAAAACACACTTTCTGTAGAATCTGCAAGTGGATATTTGGACCTCTCTGAGGATTTCGTTGGATACGGGAGAAAACTCACCTATCTAAACAGAAGCATTCTCAGAACCTTCTTCGTGATGCTTGCATTCAACTCACAGTGTTGAACCTTTCTCTGATAGTTCAGGTTTGAAACACTCCTTCTGCAGAATCTGCAAGTGGAGATTTGGACCTCTTTGAGGCCTATCGTCGTAAAGGAAATAACTTCATCCTAAAACAAGACAGAAGCATTCTCAGAAAATTCTTTGTGATGATTGAGTTTAACTCACAGAGCTGAGCATATCTTTTGATGGAGCACTTTCAAAACACACTTTTTGTAGAATATGCAAGTGGATATTTGTACTTCTCTGAGAATTTCGTTGGAAACGGGATAAAACTCACATAACTGAAGAGAACATTCCCAGAACTTCTTTGTGATGTTGGCATTCAACTGACAGAGTTGAACCTTCCCTTGTGAGTTCAGGTTGAAACGCCCTTTTCGTAGTATCTGCAAGTGGAGATTTGGAACGCTTTGAGGCCTACGGTAGTAAAGGAAACAGCTTCATGTAAAAACTGGACAGAAGCATTCTCAGAAAATACTTTGTGATGATTGAGTTTAACTCACAGAGCTGAACATGCCTTTGGGTGGAGCAGTTTGGAAACACACTTTTTGCAGAATCTGCAGGTGGATATTTGGACCTCTCTGAGGATTTCGTTGGAAACGGGATAACGTCACCTAACTAAACAGAAGCTTTCGCAGAAACATCTTTCTGACGTTTGCATTCAAAGTCCAGAGTTGAACCTTCCTTTGATAGTTCACGTTTGAAACACTCTTGTTGGAGGACCTGCAAGTGGATATTTGGAGCACTTTGTGGCCTTTGTTCGAAACGGCTATATCTTCACATAAAATCTAGACAGAAGCCTTCTCAGAAACTTCTCTGTGATGACTGCATTCAACTCACAGAGTTGAACATTCCTTTTGATAGAGCAGTTTTGAAACTCTCTTTTTCTAGCATCTGCAAATGGATAGGTGGAAGTCTGTGAAGATTTCTTTGGAAACGGGAATATCTTCACGTAAAAAGTAAACAGAAGCATTCTCAGAAACTCCTTTGTGAGGCTTGTGTTCAACTCCCAGAGTATAACATTGCTTTTCATAGAGCAGTTTTGAAACATTCTTTTCGTAGAGTCTCCAAGTGGACATTTGGAGCGCTTTCAGGCCTGTGGTGGAAAAGGAACTATCTTCACATAAAAACTAGAGAGAAGCGTTGTCAGAAACTTCTTTGTGATGATTGCATTCAACTCACGGAGTTGAAGATTCCTTTCGATACAGCAGTTTGGAAACACTCTTTCGGTGGAATCTGCAAGCGGATATGTGGACCTCTTGGAACATTTCGATGGAAAAGGGATAATCTTCCCATAAAAGCTAAACGGAAGCATGCTCAGGAACTTCTTTGTGATGTTTGCATTCAACTCACAGAGTTGTACTTTCCTTTTGATAGAGCAGCTTTGAAACCCTCTCTTTCTAGCATCTGCCAGGGGACATTTGGAGAGATTCGAGGCCTGGGGTGGAAAAGGAAATATCTGCTCATAAAAGCTACATGGAAGCATTCTCAGAAACTGCTTTGTGATGATTGCATTGAAGTCACAGAGTTGAACATTCCCTTTGATAGAGCCGTTTGGAAACACACTTTTGGTAGAATCTGAAAGGGGAGATTTGGACCGCTTTGAGGCCTATGGCAGCAGAGGATATAACTGCCCATAAAAACTAGACAGTAGCATTCCCAGGAAACACTTTGTGACGATTGAGTTCAACTCACAGAGCTCAACATTCCTTTGGATGGAGCAGTTTCAAAACACACTTTCTGTAGAATCTGCAAGTGGATATTTGGACCTCTCTGAGGATTTCGTTGGATACGGGAGAAAACTCACCTATTTAAACAGAAGCATTCTCAGAACCTTCTTCGTGATGCTTGCATTCAACTCACAGTGTTGAACCTTTCTCTGATAGTTCAGGTTTGAAACACTCCTTCTGCAGAATCTGCAAGTGGAGATTTGGACCTCTTTGAGGCCTATCGTCGTAAAGGAAATAACTTCATCCTAAAACAAGACAGAAGCATTCTCAGAAAATTCTTTGTGATGATTGAGTTTACCTCACAGAGCTGAGCATATCTTTTGATGGAGCACTTTCAAAACACACTTTGTGTAGAATATGCAAGTGGATATTTGTACTTCTCTGAGAATTTCGTTGGAAACGGGATAAAACTCACATAACTGAAGAGAAACATTCCCAGAACTTCTTTGTGATGTTGGCATTCAACTGACAGAGTTGAACCTTCCCTTGTGAGTTCAGGTTGAAACGCCCTTTTCATAGTATCTGCAAGTGGAGATTTGGAACGCTTTGAGGCCTACGGTAGTAAAGGAAACAGCTTCATGTAACAACTGGACAGAAGCATTCTCAGAAAATACTTTGTGATGATTGAGTTTAACTCACAGAGCTGAACATGCCTTTGGGTGGAGCAGTTTGGAAACACACTTTTTGCAGAATCTGCAGGTGGATATTTGGACCTCTCTGAGGATTTCGTTGGAAACGGGATAACGTCACCTAACTAAACAGAAGCTTTCGCAGAAACATCTTTCTGACGTTTGCATTCAAAGTCCAGAGTTGAACCTTCCTTTGATAGTTCACGTTTGAAACACTCTTGTTGGAGGACCTGCAAGTGGATATTTGGAGCACTTTGTGGCCTTTGTTCGAAACGGGTATATCTTCACATAAAATCTAGACAGAAAGCCTTCTCAGGAAACTTCTCTGTGATGACTGCATTCAACTCACAGAGTTGAACATTCCTTTTGATAGAGCAGTTTTGAAACTCTCTTTTTCTAGCATCTGCAAATGGATAGGTGGAAGCCTGTGAAGATTTCTTTGGAAACGGGAATATCTTCACGTAAAAAGTAAACAGAAGCATTCTCAGAAACTCCTTTGTGAGGCTTGTGTTCAACTCCCAGAGTATAACATTGCTTTTCATAGAGCAGTTTTGAAACATTCTTTTCGTAGAGTCTCCAAGTGGACATTTGGAGCGCTTTCAGGCCTGTGGTGGAAAAGGAAATATCTTCACATAAAAACTAGAGAGAAGCATTGTCAGAAACTTCTTTGTGATGATTGCATTCAACTCACGGAGTTGAAGATTCCTTTTGATACAGCAGTTTGGAAACACTCTTTCGGTGGAATCTGCAAGCGGATATGTGGAACCCTTTGAACATTTCGATGGAAAAGGGATAATCTTCCCATAAAAGCTAAACGGAAGCATGCTCAGGAACTTCTTTGTGATGTTTGCATTCAACTCACAGAGTTGTACTTTCCTTTTGATAGAGCAGCTTTGAAACCCTCTCTTTCTAGCATCTGCCAGGGGACATTTGGAGGGCTTCGAGGCCTGGGGTGGAAAAGGAAATATCTGCTCATAAAAGCTACATGGAAGCATTCTCAGAAACTGCTTTGTGATGATTGCATGCAACTCACAGAGTTGAACATTCCCTTTGATAGAGCCGTTTGGAAACACACTTTTGGTAGAATCTGAAAGGGGAGATTTGGACCGCTTTGAGGCCTATGGCAGCAGAGGATATAACTGCCCATAAAAACTAGACAGTAGCATTCCCAGGAAACACTTTGTGACGATTGAGTTCAACTCACAGAGCTGAACATTCCTTTGGATGGAGCAGTTTCAAAACACACTTTCTGTAGAATCTGCAAGTGGATATTTGGACCTCTCTGAGGATTTCGTTGGATACGGGAGAAAACTCACCTATCTAAACAGAAGCATTCTCAGAACCTTCTTCGTGATGCTTGCATTCAACTCACAGTGTTGAACCTTTCTCTGATAGTTCAGGTTTGAAACACTCCTTCTGCAGAATCTGCAAGTGGAGATTTGGACCTCTTTGAGGCCTATCGTCGTAAAGGAAATAACTTCATCCTAAAACAAGACAGAAGCATTCTCAGAAAATTCTTTGTGATGATTGAGTTTAACTCACAGAGCTGAGCATATCTTTTGATGGAGCACTTTCAAAACACACTTTTTGTAGAATATGCAAGTGGATATTTGTACTTCTCTGAGAATTTCGTTGGAAACGGGATAAAACTCACATAACTGAAGAGAAACATTCCCAGAACTTCTTTGTGATGTTGGCATTCAACTGACAGAGTTGAACCTTCCCTTGAGAGTTCAGGTTGAAACGCCCTTTTCGTAGTATCTGCAAGTGGAGATTTGGAACGCTTTGAGGCCTACGGTAGTAAAGGAAACAGCTTCATGTAAAAACTGGACAGAAGCATTCTCAGAAAATACTTTGTGATGATTGAGTTTAACTCACAGAGCTGAACATGCCTTTGGGTGGAGCAGTTTGGAAACACACTTTTTGCAGAATCTGCAGGTGGATATTTGGACCTCTCTGAGGATTTCCTTGGAAACGGGATAACGTCACCTAACTAAACAGAAGCTTTCGCAGAAACATCTTTCTGACGTTTGCATTCAAAGTCCAGAGTTGAACCTTCCTTTGATAGTTCACGTTTGAAACACTCTTGTTGGAGGACCTGCAAGTGGATATTTGGAGCACTTTGTGGCCTTCGTTCGAAACGGGTATATCTTCACATAAAATCTAGACAGAAGCCTTCTCAGAAACTTCTCTGTGATGACTGCATTCAACTCACAGAGTTGAACATTCCTTTTGATAGAGCAGTTTTGAAACTGTCTTTTTCTAGCATCTGCAAATGGATAGGTGGAAGTCTGTGAAGATTTCTTTGGAAACGGGAATATCTTCACGTAAAAAGTAAACAGAAGCATTCTCAGAAAGTCCTTTGTGAGGCTTGTGTTCAACTCCCAGAGTATAACATTGCTTTTCATAGAGCAGTTTTGAAACATTCTTTTCGTAGAGTCTCCAAGTGGACATTTGGAGCGCTTTCAGGCCTGTGGTGGAAAAGGAAATATCTTCACATAAAAACTAGAGAGAAGCATTGTCAGAAACTTCTTTGTGATGATTGCATTCAACTCACGGAGTTGAAGATTCCTTTTGATACAGCAGTTTGGAAACACTCTTTCGGTGGAATCTGCAAGCGGATATGTGGACCTCTTTGAACATTTCGATGGAAAAGGGATAATCTTCCCATGAAAGCTAAACGGAAGCATGCTCAGGAGCTTCTTTGTGATGTTTGCATTCAACTCACAGAGTTGTACTTTCCTTTTGATAGAGCAGCTTTGAAACCCTCTCTTTCTAGCATCTGCAAGGGGACATTTGGAGGGCTTCGAGGCCTGGGGTGGAAAAGGAAATATCTTCTCCTAAAAGCTACATGGAAGCATTCTCAGAAACTGCTTTGTGATGATTGCATTCAAGTCACAGAGTTGAACATTCCCTTTGATAGAGCCGTTTGGAAACACACTTTTGGTAGAATCTGAAAGGGGAGATTTGGACCGCTTTGAGGCCTATGGCAGCAGAGGATGTAACTGCCCATAAAAACTAGACAGTAGCATTCCCAGGAAACACTTTGTGACGATTCAGTTCAACTCACAGAGCTGAACATTCCTTTGGATGGAGCAGTTTCAAAACACACTTTCTGTAGAATCTGCAAGTGGATATTTGGACCTCTCTGAGGATTTCGTTGGATACGGGAGAAAACTCACCTATCTAAACAGAAGCATTCTCAGAACCTTCTTCGTGATGCTTGCATTCAACTCACAGTGTTGAACCTTTCTCTGATAGTTCAGGTTTGAAACACTCCTTCTGCAGAATCTGCAAGTGGAGATTTGGACCTCTTTGAGGCCTATCGTCGTAAAGGAAATAACTTCATCCTAAAACAAGACAGAAGCATTCTCAGAAAATTCTTTGTGATGATTGAGTTTAACTCACAGAGCTGAGCATATCTTTTGATGGAGCACTTTCAAAACACACTTTTTGTAGAATATGCAAGTGGATATTTGTACTTCTCTGAGAATTTCGTTGGAAACGGGATAAAACTCACATAACTGAAGAGAAACATTCCCAGAACTTCTTTGTGATGTTGGCATTCAACTGACAGAGTTGAACCTTCCCTTGTGAGTTCAGGTTGAAACGCTCTTTTCGTAGTATCTGCAAGTGGAGATTTGGAACGCTTTGAGGCCTACGGTAGTAAAGGAAACAGCTTCATGTAAAAAGTGGACAGAAGCATTCTCAGAAAATACTTTGTGATGATTGAGTTTAACTCACAGAGCTGAACATGCCTTTGGGTGGAGCAGTTTGGAAACACACTTTTTGCAGAATCTGCAGGTGGATATTTGGACCTCTCTGAGGATTTCGTTGGAAACGGGATAACGTCACCTAACTAAACAGAAGCTTTCGCAGAAACATCTTTCTGACGTTTGCATTCAAAGTCCAGAGTTGAACCTTCCTTTGATAGTTCACGTTTGAAACACTCTTGTTGGAGGACCTGCAAGTGGATATTTGGAGCACTTTGTGGCCTTCGTTCGAAACGGGTATATCTTCACAAAAAATCTAGACAGAAGCCTTCTCAGAAACTTCTCTGTGATGACTGCATTCAACTCACAGAGTTGAACATTCCTTTTGATAGAGCAGTTTTGAAACTCTCTTTTTCAAGCATCTGCAAATGGATAGGTGGAAGTCTGTGAAGATTTCTTTGGAAACGGGAATATCTTCACGTAAAAAGTAAACAGAAGCATTCTCAGAAACTCCTTTGTGAGGCTTGTGTTCAACTCCCAGAGTATAACATTGCTTTTCATAGAGCAGTTTTGAAACATTCTTTTCGTAGAGTCTCCAAGTGGACATTTGGAGCGCTTTCAGGCCTGTGGTGGAAAAGGAAATATCTTCATATAAAAACTAGAGAGAAGCGTTGTCAGAAACTTCTTTGTGATGATTGCATTCAACTCACGGAGTTGAAGATTCCTTTTGATACAGCAGTTTGGAAACGCTCTTTCGGTGGAATCTGCAAGCGGATATGTGGACCTCTTTGAACATTTCGATGGAAAAGGGATAATCTTCCCATAAAAGCTAAACGGAAGCATGCTCAGGAACTTCTTTGTGATGTTTGCATTCAACTCACAGAGTTGTACTTTCCTTTTGATAGAGCAGCTTTGAAACCCTCTCTTTCTAGCATCTGCAAGGGGACATTTGGAGGGCTTCGAGGCCTGGGGTGGAAAAGGAAATATCTGCTCATAAAAGCTACATGGAAGCATTCTCAGAAACTGCTTTGTGATGATTGCATTCAAGTCACAGAGTTGAACATTCCCTTTGATAGAGCCGTTTGGAAACACACTTTTGGTAGAATCTGAAAGGGGAGATTTGGACCGCTTTGAGGCCTATGGCAGCAGAGGATATAACTGCACATAAAAACTAGACAGTAGCATTCCCAGGAAACACTTTGTGACGACTGAGTTCAACTCACAGAGCTGAACATTCCTTTGGATGGAGCAGTTTCAAAACACACTTTCTGTAGAATCTGCAAGTGGATATTTGGACCTCTCTGAGGATTTCGTTGGATACGGGAGAAAACTCACCTATCTAAACAGAAGCATTCTCAGCAACCTTCTTCGTGATGCTTGCATTCAACTCACAGTGTTGAACCTTTCTCTGATAGTTCAGGTTTGAAACACTCCTTCTGCAGAATCTGCAAGTGGAGATTTGGACCTCTTTGAGGCCTATCGTCGTAAAGGAAATAACTTCATCCTAAAACAAGACAGAAGCATTCTCAGAAAATTCTTTGTGATGATTGAGTTTAACTCACAGAGCTGAGCATATCTTTTGATGGAGCACTTTCAAAACACACTTTTTGTAGAATATGCAAGTGGATATTTGTACTTCTCTGAGAATTTCGTTGGAAACGGGATAAAACTCACATAACTGAAGAGAAACATTCCCAGAACTTCTTTGTGATGTTGGCATTCAACTGACAGAGTTGAACCTTCCCTCGTGAGTTCAGGTTGAAACGCTCTTTTCGTAGTATCTGCAAGTGGAGATTTGGAACGCTTTGAGGCCTACGGTAGTAAAGGAAACAGCTTCATGTAAAAACTGGACAGAAGCATTCTCAGAAAATACTTTGTGATGATTGAGTTTAACTCACAGAGCTGAACATGCCTTTGGGTGGAGCAGTTTGGAAACACACTTTTTGCAGAATCTGCAGGTGGATATTTGGACCTCTCTGAGGATTTCGTTGGAAACGGGATAACGTCACCTAACTAAACAGAAGCTTTCGCAGAAACATCTTTCTGACGTTTGCATTCAAAGTCCAGAGTTGAACCTTCCTTTGATAGTTCACGTTTGAAACACTCTTGTTGGAGGACCTGCAAGTGGATATTTGCAGCACTTTGTGGCCTTTGTTCGGAACGGGTATATCTTCACATAAAATCTAGACAGAAGCCTTCTCAGAAACTTCTCTGTGATGATTGCATGCAACTCACAGTGTTGAACATTCCTTTTGATAGAACAGTTTTGAAACTCTCTTTGTGTAGAATCTGCAAGTGGATATGTGGACCTCTGTGAAGATTTCCTTGGAAACAAGAATATCTTCACATAAAAAGTAAACAGAAGCATTCTCAGAAACTTCTTTGTGAGGCTTGTGTTCAACTCCCAGAGTTTAACATTGCTCTTCATAGAGCAGTTTTGAAACATTCTTTTTGTAATGTCTGCAAGTGGACATTTAGAGCGCTTTCAGGCCTGTTGTGGCAAAGGAAATATCATCACATAAAAACTAGAGAGAAGCATTGTCAGAAACTTCTTTGTGATGATTGCATTCAACTCACGGAGTTGAAGATTCCTTTTGATACAGCAGTTTGGAAACACTCTTTCGGTGGAATCTGCAGGCGGATATTTGGACCTCTTTGAAGATTTCGATGGAAAAGGGATAATCTTCCGAAAAGCTAAACGAAAGCATGCTCAGGAACTTCTTTGTGATGTTTGCATTCAACTCACAGAAGTTGTACTTTCCTTTTGATAGAGCAGCTTTGAAACCCTCTCTTTCTAGCATCTGCAAGGGGACATTTGGAGGGCTTCGAGGCCTGGGGTGGAAAAGGAAATATCTGCTCATAAAAGCTACATGGAAGCATTCTCAGAAACTGCTTTGTGATGATTGCATTCAAGTCACAGAGTTGAACATTCCCTTTGATAGAGCCGTTTGGAAACACACTTTTGGTAGAATCTGAAAGGGGAGATTTGGACCGCTTTGAGGCCTATGGCAGCAGAGGATATAACTGCCCATAAAAACTAGACAGTAGCATTCCCAGGAAACAATTTGTGACGATTGAGTTCAACTCACAGAGCTGAACATTCCTTTGGATGGAGCAGTTTCAAAACACACTTTCTGTAGAATCTGCAAGTGGATATTTGGACCTCTCTGAGGATTTCGTTGGATACGGGAGAAAACTCACCTATCTAAACAGAGGCATTCTCAGAACCTTCTTCGTGATGCTTGCATTCAACTCACAGTGTTGAACCTTTCTCTGATAGTTCAGGTTTGAAACACTCCTTCTGCAGAATCTGCAAGTGGAGATTTGGACCTCTTTGAGGCCTATCGTCGTAAAGGAAATAACTTCATCCTAAAACAAGACAGAAGCATTCTCAGAAAATTCTTTGTGATGATTGAGTTTAACTCACAGAGCTGAGCATATCTTTTGATGGAGTATTTTCAAAACACACTTTTTGTAGAATATGCAAGTGGATATTTGTACTTCTCTGAGAATTTCGTTGGAAACGGGATAAAACTCACATAACTGAAGAGAAACATTCCCAGAACTTCTTTGTGATGTTGGCATTCAACTGACAGAGTTGAACCTTCCCTTTTGAGTTCGGGTTGAAACGCTCTTTTCGTAGTATCTGCAAGTGGAGATTTGGAACGCTTTGAGGCCTATGGTCTCAAAGGAAACAGCTTCATGTAAAAACTGGACAGAAGCATTCTCAGAAAATACTTTGTGATGATTGAGTTTAACTCACAGAGCTGAACATTCCTTTGGGTGGAGCAGTTTGGAAACACACTTTTTGCAGAATCTGCAGGTGGATATTTGGACCTCTCTGAGGATTTCGTTGGAAACGGGATAACGTCACCTAACTATACAGAAGCTTTCGCAGAAACATCTTTCTGACGTTTGCATTCAAAGTCCAGAGTTGAACCTTCCTTTGATAGTTCACGTTTGAAACACTCTTGTTGGAGGACCTGCAAGTGGATATTTGGAGCACTTTGTGGCCTTTGTTCGAAACGGGTATATCTTCACATAAAATCTAGACAGAAGCCTTCTCAGAAACTTCTCTGCGATGATTGCATTCAACTCACAGATTTGAACATTCCTTTTGATAGAGCAGTTTTGAAACTCTCTTTTTCTAGCATCTGCAAATGGATAGGTGGAACTCTGTGAAGATTTCTTTGGAAACGGGAATATCTTCACGTAAAAAGTAAACAGAAGCATTCTCAGAAACTCCTTTGTGAGGCTTGTGTTCAACTCCCAGAGAATAACATTGCTTTTCATAGAGCAGTTTTGAAACATTCTTGTCGTAGAGTCCCCAAGTGGACATTAGGAGCGCTTTCTGGCCTGTGGTGGAAAAGGAAATATCTTCACATAAAAACTAGAGAGAAGCATTGTCAGAAACTTCTTTGTGATGATTGCATTCAACTCACGGAGTTGAAGATTCCTTTTGATACAGCAGTTTGGAGACACTCTTTCGGTGGAATCTGCAAGGGGATATGTGGACCTCTTTGAACATTTCGATGGAAAAGGGATAATCTTCCCATGAAAGCTAAACGGAAGCATGCTCAGGAACTTCTTTGTGATGTTTGCATTCAACTCACAGAGTTGTACTTTCCTTTTGATAGAGCAGCTTTGAAACCCTCTCTTTCTAGCATCTGCAAGGGGACATTTGGAGGGCTTCAAGGCCTGGGGTGGAAAAGGAAATATCTTCTCCTAAAAGCTACATGGAAGCATTCTCAGAAACTGCTTTGTGATGATTGCATGCAAGTCACAGAGTTGAACATTCCCTTTGATAGAGCCGTTTGGAAACACACTTTTGGTAGAATCTGAAAGGGGAGATTTGGACCGCTTTGAGGCCTATGGCAGCAGAGGATATAACTGCCCATAAAAACTAGACAGTAGCATTCCCAGGAAACACTTTGTGACGATTGAGTTCAACTCACAGAGCTGAACATTCCTTTGGATGGAGCAGTTTCAAAACACACTTTCTGTAGAATCTGCAAGTGGATATTTGGACCTCTCTGAGGATTTCGTTGGATACGGGAGAAAACTCACCTATCTAAACAGAAGCATTCTCAGAACCTTCTTCGTGATGCTTGCATTCAACTCACAGTGTTGAACCTTTCTCTGATAGTTCAGGTTTGAAACACTCCTTCTGCAGAATCTGCAAGTGGAGATTTGGACCTCTTTGAGGCCTATCGTCGTAAAGGAAATAACTTCATCCTAAAACAAGACAGAAGCATTCTCAGAAAATTCTTTGTGATGATTGAGTTTAACTCACAGAGCTGAGCATATCTTTTGATGGAGCACTTTCAAAACACACTTTTTGTAGAATATGCAAGTGGATATTTGTACTTCTCTGAGAATTTCGTTGGAAACGGGATAAAACTCACATAACTGAAGAGAAACATTCCCAGAACTTCTTTGTGATGTTGGCATTCAACTGACAGAGTTAAACCTTCCCTTGTGAGTTCAGGTTGAAACGCCCTTTTCGTAGTATCTGCAAGTGGAGATTTGGAACGCTTTGAGGCCTACGGTAGTAAAGGAAACAGCTTCATGTAAAAACTGGACAGAAGCATTCTCAGAAAATACTTTGTGATGATTGAGTTTAACTCACAGAGCTGAACATGCCTTTGGGTGGAGCAGTTTGGAAACACACTTTTTGCAGAATCTGCAGGTGGATATTTGGACCTCTCTGAGGATTTCGTTGGAAACGGGATAACGTCACCTAACTAAACAGAAGCTTTCGCAGAAACATCTTTCTGACGTTTGCATTCAAAGTCCAGAGTTGAACCTTCCTTTGATAGTTCACGTTTGAAACACTCTTGTTGGAGGACCTGCAAGTGGATATTTGGAGCACTTTGTGGCCTTTGTTCGAAACGGGTATATCTTCACATAAAATCTAGACAGAAGCCTTCTCAGAAACTTCTCTGTGATGACTGCATTCAACTCACAGAGTTGAACATTCCTTTTGATAGAGCAGTTTTGAAACTCCCTTTTTCTAGCATCTGCAAATGGATAGGTGGAAGCCTGTGAAGATTTCTTTGGAAACTGGAATATCTTCACGTAAAAAGTAAACAGAAGCATTCTCAGAAACTCCTTTGTGAGGCTTGTGTTCAACTCCCAGAGTATAACATTGCTTTTCATAGAGCAGTTTTGAAACATTCTTTTCGTAGAGTCTCCAAGTGGACATTTGGAGCGCTTTCAGGCCTGTGGTGGAAAAGGAAATATCTTCACATAAAAACTAGAGAGAAGCGTTGTCAGAAACTTCTTTGTGATGATTGCATTCAACTCACGGAGTTGAAGATTCCTTTTGATACAGCAGTTTGGAAACGCTCTTTCGGTGGAATCTGCAAGCGGATATGTGGACCTCTTTGAACATTTCGATGGAAAAGGGATAATCTTCCCATAAAAGCTAAACGGAAGCATGCTCAGGAGCTTCTTTGTGATGTTTGCATTCAACTCACAGAGTTGTACTTTCCTTTTGATAGAGCAGCTTTGAAACCCTCTCTTTCTAGCATCTGCAAGGGGACATTTGGAGGGCTTCGAGGCCTGGGGTGGAAAAGGAAATATCTGCTCATTAAAGCTACATGGAAGCATTCTCAGAAACTGCTTTGTGATGATTGCATTCAAGTCACAGAGTTGAACATTCCCTTTGATAGAGCCGTTTGGAAACACACTTTTGGTAGAATCTGAAAGGGGAGATTTGGACCGCTTTGAGGCCTATGGCAGCAGAGGATATAACTGCCCATAAAAACTAGACAGTTAGCATTCCCAGGAAACACTTTGTGACGATTGAGTTCAACTCACAGAGCTGAACATTCCTTTGGATGGAGCAGTTTCAAAACACACTTTCTGTAGAATCTGCAAGTGGATATTTGGACCTCTCTGAGGATTTCGTTGGATACGGGAGAAAACTCACCTATCTAAACAGAGGCATTCTCAGAACCTTCTTCGTGATGCTTGCATTCAACTCACAGTGCTGAAACTTTCTCTGATAGTTCAGGTTTGAAACACTCCTTCTGCAGAATCTGCAAGTGGAGATTTGGACCTCTTTGAGGCCTATCGTCGTAAAGGAAATAACTTCATCCTAAAACAAGACAGAAGCATTCTCAGAAAATTCTTTGTGATGATTGAGTTTAACTCACAGAGCTGAGCATATCTTTTGATGGAGCACTTTCAAAACACACTTTTTGTAGAATATGCAAGTGGATATTTGTACTTCTCTGAGAATTTCGTTGGAAACGGGATAAAACTCACATAACTGAAGAGAAACATTCCCAGAACTTCTTTGTGATGTTGGCATTCAACTGACAGAGTTGAACCTTCCCTTGTGAGTTCAGGTTGAAACGCTCTTTTCGTAGTATCTGCAAGTGGAGATTTGGAACGCTTTGAGGCCTACGGTAGTAAAGGAAACAGCTTCATGTAAAAACTGGACAGAAGCATTCTCAGAAAATACTTTGTGATGATTGAGTTTAACTCACAGAGCTGAACATGCCTTTGAGTGGAGCAGTTTGGAAACACACTTTTTGCAGAATCTGCAGGTGGATATTTGGACCTCTCTGAGGATTTCCTTGGAAACGTGATAACGTCACCTAACTAAACAGAAGCTTTCGCAGAAACATCTTTCTGACGTTTGCATTCAAAGTCCAGAGTTGAACCTTCCTTTGATAGTTCACGTTTGAAACACTCTTGTTGGAGGACCCGCAAGTGGATATTTGGAGCACTTTGTGGCCTTTGTTCGAAACGGGTATATCTTCACATAAAATCTAGCCAGAAGCCTTCTCAGAAACTTCTCTGTGATGACTGCATTCAACTCACAGAGTTGAACATTCCTTTTGATAGAGCAGTTTTGAAACTCTCTTTTTCTAGCATCTGCAAATGGATAGGTGGAAGCCTGTGAAGATTTCTTTGGAAACGGGAATATCTTCACGTAAAAAGTAAACAGAAGCATTCTCAGAAACTCCTTTGTGAGGCTTGTGTTCAACTCCCAGAGTATAACATTGCTTTTCATAGAGCAGTTTTGAAACATTCTTTTCGTAGAGTCTCCAAGTGGACATTTGGAGCGCTTTCAGGCCTGTGGTGGAAAAGGAAATATCTTCACATAAAAACTAGAGAGAAGCATTGTCAGAAACTTCTTTGTGATGATTGCATTCAACTCACGGAGTTGAAGATTCCTTTTGATACAGCAGTTTGGAAACACTCTTTCGGTGGAATCTGCAAGCGGATATGTGGACCTCTTTGAACATTTCGATGGAAAAGGGATAATCTTCCCATAAAAGCTAAACGGAAGCATGCTCAGGAACTTCTTTGTGATGTTTGCATTCAACTCACAGAGTTGTACTTTCCTTTTGATAGAGCAGCTTTGAAACCCTCTCTTTCTAGCATCTGCCAGGGGACATTTGGAGGGCTTCGAGGCCTGGGGTGGAAAAGGAAATATCTGCTCCTAAAAGCTACATGGAAGCATTCTCAGAAACTGCTTTGTGATGATTGCATTCAAGTCACAGAGTTGAACATTCCCTTTGATAGAGCCGTTTGGAAACACACTTTTGGTAGAATCTGAAAGGGGAGATTTGGACCGCTTTGAGGCCTATGGCAGCAGAGGATATAACTGCCCATAAAAACTAGACAGTAGCATTCCCAGGAAACACTTTGTGACGATTGAGTTCAACTCACAGAGCTGAACATTCCTTTGGATGGAGCAGTTTCAAAACACACTTTCTGTAGAATCTGCAAGTGGATATTTGGACCTCTCTGAGGATTTCGTTGGATACGGGAGAAAACTCACTTATCTAAACAGAAGCATTCTCAGAACCTTCTTCGTGATGCTTGCATTCAACTCACAGTGTTGAACCTTTCTCTGATAGTTCAGGTTTGAAACACTCCTTCTGCAGAATCTGCAAGTGGAGATTTGGACCTCTTTGAGGCCTATCGTCGTAAAGGAAATAACTTCATCCTAAAACAAGACAGAAGCATTCTCAGAAAATTCTTTGTGATGATTGAGTTTAACTCACAGAGCTGAGCATATCTTTTGATGGAGCACTTTCAAAACACACTTTTTGTAGAATATGCAAGTGGATATTTGTACTTCTCTGAGAATTTCGTTGGAAACGGGATAAAACTCACATAACTGAAGAGAAACATTCCCAGAACTTCTTTGTGACGTTGGCATTCAACTGACAGAGTTGAACCTTCCCTTGTGAGTTCAGGTTGAAACGCTCTTTTCGTAGTATCTGCAAGTGGAGATTTGGAACGCTTTGAGGCCTACGGTAGTAAAGGAAACAGCTTCATGTAAAAACTGGACAGAAGCATTCTCAGAAAATACTTTGTGATGATTGAGTTTAACTCACAGAGCTGAACATTCCTTTGGGTGGAGCAGTTTGGAAACACACTTTTTGCAGAATCTGCAGGTGGATATTTCACCTCTCTGAGGATTTCGTTGGAAACGGGATAATGTCACCTAACTAAACAGAAGCTTTCGCAGAAACATCTTTCTGACGTTTGCATTCAAAGTCCAGAGTTGAACCTTCCTTTGATAGTTCACGTTTGAAACACTCTTGTTGGAGGACCTGCAAGTGGATATTTGGAGCACTTTGTGGCCTTTGTTCGAAACGGGTATATCTTCACATAAAATCTAGACAGAAGCCTTCTCAGAAACTTCTCTGTGATGACTGCATTCAACTCACAGAGTTGAACATTCCTTTTGATAGAGCAGTTTTGAAACTCTCTTTTTCTAGCATCTGCAAATGGATAGGTGGAAGTCTGTGAAGATTTCTTTGGAAACGGGAATATCTTCACGTAAAAAGTAAACAGAAGCATTCTCAGAAACTCCTTTGTGAGGCTTGTGTTCAACTCCCAGAGTATAACATTGCTTTTCATAGAGCAGTTTTGAAACATTCTTTTCGTAGAGTCTCCAAGTGGACATTTGGAGCGCTTTCAGGCCTGTGGTGGAAAAGGAAATATCTTCACATAAAAACTAGAGAGAAGCGTTGTCAGAAACTTCTTTGTGATGATTGCATTCAACTCACGGAGTTGAAGATTCCTTTTGATACAGCAGTTTGGAAACACTCTTTCGGTGGAATCTGCAAGCGGACATGTGGACCTCTTTGAACATTTCGATGGAAAAGGGATAATCTTCCCATAAAAGCTAAACGGAAGCATGCTCAGGAGCTTCTTTGTGATGTTTGCATTCAACTCACAGAGTTGTACTTTCCTTTTGATAGAGCAGCTTTGAAACCCTCTCTTTCTAGCATCTGCAAGGGGACATTTGGAGGGCTTCGAGGCCTGGGGTGGAAAAGGAAATATCTGCTCATTAAAGCTACATGGAAGCATTCTCAGAAACTGCTTTGTGATGATTGCATTCAAGTCACAGACTTGAACATTCCCTTTGATAGAGCCGTTTGGAAACACACTTTTGGGAGAATCTGAAAGGAGAGATTTGGACCGCTTTGAGGCCTATGGCAGCAGAGGATATAACTGCACATAAAAACTAGACAGTAGCATTCCCAGGAAACACTTTGTGACGATTGAGTTCAACTCACAGAGCTGAACATTCCTTTGGATGGAGCAGTTTCAAAACACACTTTCTGTAGAATCTGCAAGTGGATATTTGGACCTCCCTGAGGATTTCGTTGGATACGGGAGAAAACTCACCTATCTAAACAGAAGCATTCTCAGAACCTTCTTCGTGATGCTTGCATTCAACTCACAGTGTTGAACCTTTCTCTGATAGTTCAGGTTTGAAACACTCCTTCTGCAGAATCTGCAAGTGGAGATTTGGACCTCTTTGAGGCCTATCGTCGTAAAGGAAATAACTTCATCCTAAAACAAGACAGAAGCATTCTCAGAAAATTCTTTGTGATGATTGAGTTTAACTCACAGAGCTGAGCATATCTTTTGATGGAGCATTTTCAAAACACACTTTTTGTAGAATATGCAAGGGGATATTTGTACTTCTCTGAGAATTTCGTTGGAAACGGGATAAAACTCACATAACTGAAGAGAAACATTCCCAGAACTTCTTTGTGATGTTGGCATTCAACTGACAGAGTTGAACCTTCCCTTGTGAGTTCAGGTTGAAACGCTCTTTTCGTAGTATCTGCAAGTGGAGATTTGGAACGCTTTGAGGCCTACGGTAGTAAAGGAAACAGCTTCATGTAAAAACTGGACAGAAGCATTCTCAGAAAATACTTTGTGATGATTGAGTTTAACTCACAGAGCTGAACATGCCTTTGGGTGGAGCAGTTTGGAAACACACTTTTTGCAGAATCTGCAGGTGGATATTTGGACCTCTCTGAGGATTTCGTTGGAAACGGGATAACGTCACCTAACTAAACAGAAGCTTTCGCAGAAACATCTTTCTGACGTTTGCATTCAAAGTCCAGAGTTGAACCTTCCTTTGATAGTTCACGTTTGAAACACTCTTGTTGGAGGACCCGCAAGTGGATATTTGGAGCACTTTGTGGCCTTTGTTCGAAACGGGTATATCTTCACATAAAATCTAGACAGAAGCCTTCTCAGAAACTTCTCTGTGATGACTGCATTCAACTCACAGAGTTGAACATTCCTTTTGATAGAGCAGTTTTGAAACTCTCTTTTTCTAGCATCTGCAAATGGATAGGTGGAAGCCTGTGAAGATTTCTTTGGAAACGGGAATATCTTCACGTAAAAAGTAAACAGAAGCATTCTCAGAAACTCCTTTGTGAGGCTTGTGTTCAACTCCCAGAGTATAACATTGCTTTTCATAGAGCAGTTTTGAAACATTCTTTTCGTAGAGTCTCCAAGTGGACATTTGGAGCGCTTTCAGGCCTGTGGTGGAAAAGGAAATATCTTCATATAAAAACTAGAGAGAAGCGTTGTCAGAAACTTCTTTGTGATGATTGCATTCAACTCACGGAGTTGAAGATTCCTTTTGATACAGCAGTTTGGAAACATTCTTTCGGTGGAATCTGCAAGCGGATATGTGGACCTCTTTGAACATTTCGATGGAAAAGGGATAATCTTCCCATAAAAGCTAAACGGAAGCATGCTCAGGAACTTCTTTGTGATGTTTGCATTCATCTCACAGAGTTGTACTTTCCTTTTGATAGAGCAGCTTTGAAACCCTCTCTTTCTAGCATCTGCAAGGGGACATTTGGAGGGCTTCGAGGCCTGGGGTGGAAAAGGAAATATCTGCTCATAAAAGCTACATGGAAGCATTCTCAGAAACTGCTTTGTGATGATTGCATGCAAGTCACAGAGTTGAACATTCCCTTTGATAGAGCCGTTTGGAAACACACTTTTGGTAGAATCTGAAAGGGGAGATTTGGACCGCTTTGAGGCCTATGGCAGCAGAGGATATAACTGCCCATAAAAACTAGACAGTAGCATTCCCAGGAAACACTTTGTGACGATTGAGTTCAACTCACAGAGCTGAACATTCCTTTGGATGGAGCAGTTTCAAAACACACTTTCTGTAGAATCTGCAAGTGGATATTTGGACCTCTCTGAGGATTTCGTTGGATACGGGAGAAAACTCACCTATCTAAACAGAAGCATTCTCAGAACCTTCTTCGTGATGCTTGCATTCAACTCACAGTGTTGAACCTTTCTCTGATAGTTCAGGTTTGAAACACTCCTTCTGCAGAATCTGCAAGTGGAGATTTGGACCTCTTTGAGGCCTATCGTCGTAAAGGAAATAACTTCATCCTAAAACAAGACAGAAGCATTCTCAGAAAATTCTTTGTGATGATTGAGTTTAACTCACAGAGCTGAGCATATCTTTTGATGGAGCACTTTCAAAACACACTTTGTGTAGAATATGCAAGTGGATATTTGTACTTCTCTGAGAATTTCGTTGGAAACGGGATAAAACTCACATAACTGAAGAGAAACATTCCCAGAACTTCTTTGTGATGTTGGCATTCAACTGACAGAGTTGAACCTTCCCTTGTGAGTTCAGGTTGAAACGCTCTTTTCGTAGTATCTGCAAGTGGAGATTTGGAACGCTTTGAGGCCTACGGTAGTAAAGGAAACAGCTTCATGTAAAAACTGGACAGAAGCATTCTCAGAAAATACTTTGTGATGATTGAGTTTAACTCACAGAGCTGAACATTCCTTTGGGTGGAGCAGTTTGGAAACACACTTTTTGCAGAATCTGCAGGTGGATATTTGGACCTCTCTGAGGATTTCGTTGGAAACGGGATAACGTCACCTAACTAAACAGAAGCTTTCGCAGAAACATCTTTCTGACGTTTGCATTCAAAGTCCAGAGTTGAACCTTCCTTTGATAGTTCACGTTTGAAACACTCTTGTTGGAGGACCTGCAAGTGGGTATTTGGAGCACTTTGTGGCCTTCGTTCGAAACGGGTATATCTTCACAAAAAATCTAGACAGAAGCCTTCTCAGAAACTTCTCTGTGATGATTGCATTCAACTCACAGAGTTGAACATTCCTTTTGATAGAGCAGTTTTGAAACTCTCTTTTTCTAGCATCTGCAAATGGATAGGTGGAACTCTGTGAAGATTTCTTTGGAAACGGGAATATCTTCACGTAAAAAGTAAACAGAAGCATTCTCAGAAACTCCTTTGTGAGGCTTGTGTTCAACTCCCATAGTATAACATTGCTTTTCATAGAGCAGTTTTGAAACATTCTTTTCGTAGAGTCTCCAAGTGGACATTTGGAGCGCTTTCAGGCCTGTGGTGGAAAAGGAAATATCTTCACATAAAAACTAGAGAGAAGCATTGTCAGAAACTTCTTTGTGATGATTGCATTCAACTCACGGAGTTGAAGATTCCTTTTGATACAGCAGTTTGGAAACAGTCTTTCGGTGGAATCTGCAAGCGGATATGTGGACCTCTTTGAACATTGCGATGGAAAACGGATAATCTTCCCATAAAAGCTAAACGGAAGCATGCTCAGGAACCTCTTTGTGATGTTTGCATTCAACTCACAGAGTTGTACTTTCCTTTTGATAGAGCAGCTTTGAAACCCTCTCTTTCTAGCATCTGCAAGGGGACATTTGGAGGGCTTCGAGGCTGGGGTGGAAAAGGAAATATCTTCTCATAAAAGCTACATGGAAGCATTCTCAGAAACTGCTTTGTGATGATTGCATTCAAGTCACAGAGTTGAACATTCCCTTTGATAGAGCCTTTTGGAAACACACTTTTGGTAGAATCTGAAAGGGGAGATTTGGACCGCTTTGAGGCCTATGGCAGCAGAGGATATAACTGCCCATAAAAACTAGACAGTAGCATTCCCAGGAAACACTTTGTTACGATTGAGTTCAACTCACACAGCTGACCATTCCTTTAGATGGAGCAGTTTCAAAACACACTTTCTGTAGAATCTGCAAGTGGATATTTGGACCTCTCTGAGGATTTCGTTGGATACGGGAGAAAACTCACCTATCTAAACAGAAGCATTCTCAGAACCTTCTTCGTGATGCTTGCATTCAACTCACAGTGTTGAACCTTTCTCTGATAGTTCAGGTTTGAAACACTCCTTCTGCAGATTCTGCAAGTGGAGATTTGGACCTCTTTGAGGCCTATCGTCGTAAAGGAAATAACTTCATCCTAAAACAAGACAGAAGCATTCTCAGAATATTCTTTGTGATGATTGAGTTTAACTCACAGAGCTGAGCATATCTTTTGATGGAGCATTTTCAAAACACACTTTTTGTAGAATATGCAAGTGGATATTTGTACTTCTCTGAGAATTTCGTTGGAAACGGGATAAAACTCACATAACTGAAGAGAAACATTCCCAGAACTTCTTTGTGATGTTGGCATTCAACTGACAGAGTTGAACCTTCCCTTGTGAGTTCAGGTTGAAACGCTCTTTTCGTAGTATCTGCAAGTGGAGATTTGGAACGCTTTGAGGCCTACGGTAGTAAAGGAAACAGCTTCATGTAAAAACTGGACAGAAGCATTCTCAGAAAATACTTTGTGATGATTGAGTTTAACTCACAGAGCTGAACATGCCTTTGGGTGGAGCAGTTTGGAAACACACTTTTTGCAGAATCTGCAGGTGGATATTTGGACCTCTCTGAGGATTTCGTTGGAAACGGGATAACGTCACCTAACTAAACAGAAGCTTTCGCAGAAACATCTTTCTGACGTTTGCATTCAAAGTCCAGAGTTGAACCTTCCTTTGATAGTTCACGTTTGAAACACTCTTGTTGGAGGACCTGCAAGTGGATATTTGGAGCACTTTGTGGCCTTCGTTCGAAACGGGTATATCTTCACATAAAATCTAGACAGAAGCCTTCTCAGAAACTTCTCTGTGATGACTGCATTCAACTCACAGAGTTGAACATTCCTTTTGATAGAGCAGTTTTGAAACTCTCTTTTTCTAGCATCTGCAAATGGATAGGTGGAAGTCTGTGAAGATTTCTTTGGAAACGGGAATATCTTCACGTAAAAAGTAAACAGAAGCATTCTCAGAAACTCCTTTGTGAGGCTTGTGTTCAACTCCCAGAGTATAACATTGCTTTTCATAGAGCAGTTTTGAAACATTCTTTTCGTAGAGTCTCCAAGTGGACATTTGGAGTGCTTTCAGGCCTGTGGTGGAAAAGGAAATATCTTCACATAAAAACTAGAGAGAAGCATTGTCAGAAACTTCTTTGTGATGATTGCATTCAACTCACGGAGTTGAAGATTCCTTTCGATACAGCAATTTGGAATCCCTCTTTCGGTGGAATCTGCAAGCGGATATGTGGACCTCTTTGAATATTTCGATGGAAAAGGGATAATCTTCCCATAAAAGCTAAACGGAAGCATGCTCAGGAACTTCTTTGTGATGTTTTCATTCAACTCACAGAGTTGTACTTTCCTTCTGATAGAGCAGCTTTGAAACCCTCTCTTTCTAGCATCTGCAAGGGGACATTTGGAGGGCTTCGAGGCCTGGGGTGGAAAAGGAAATATCTTCTCATAAAAGCTACATGGAAGCATTCTCAGAAACTGCTTTGTGATGATTGCATTCAAGTCACAGAGTTGAACATTCCCTGTGATAGAGCCGTTTGGAAACACACTTTTGGTAGAATCTGAAAGGGGAGATTTGGACCGCTTTGAGGCCTATGGCAGCAGAGGATATAACTGCCCATAAAAACTAGACAGTAGCATTCCCAGGAAACACTTTGTGACGATTGAGTTCAACTCACAGAGCTGAACATTCCTTTGGATGGAGCAGTTTCAAAACACACTTTCTGTAGAATCTGCAAGTGGATATTTGGACCTCTCTGAGGATTTCGTTGGATACGGGAGAAAACTCACCTATCTAAACAGAAGCATTCTCAGAACCTTCTTCGTGATGCTTGCATTCAACTCACAGTGTTGAACCTTTCTCTGATAGTTCAGGTTTGAAACACTCCTTCTGCAGAATCTGCAAGTGGAGATTTGGACCTCTTTGAGGCCTATCGTCGTAAAGGAAATAACTTCATCCTAAAACAAGACAGAAGCATTCTCAGAAAATTCTTTGTGATGATTGAGTTTAACTCACAGAGCTGAGCATATCTTTTGATGGAGCACATTCAAAACACAC
Source organism: Homo sapiens (assembly GCF_000001405.40). Classification (NCBI taxonomy): domain Eukaryota; kingdom Metazoa; phylum Chordata; class Mammalia; order Primates; family Hominidae; genus Homo; species Homo sapiens. Next base: position 122,381,878 of record NC_000001.11, read on the forward strand.
TTTTTGTAGAATATGCAAGTGGATATTTGTACTTCTCCTGAGAATTTCGTTGGAAACGGGATAAAACTCACATAACTGAAGAGAAACACTCCCAGTAACTTCTTTGTGATGTTGGCATTCAACTGACAGAGTTGAACCTTCCCTTGAGAGTTCAGGTTGAAACGCCCTTTTCGTAGTATCTGCAAGTTGAGATTTGGAACGCTTTGAGGCCTACGGTAGTAAAGGAAACAGCTTCATGTAAAAACTGGACAGAAGCATTCTCAGAAAATACTTTGTGATGATTGAGTTTAACTCACAGAGCTGAACATGCCTTTGGGTGGAGCAGTTTGGAAACACACTTTTTGCAGAATCTGCAGGTGGATATTTGGACCTCTCTGAGGATTTCGTTGGAAACGGGATAACGTCACCTAACTAAACAGAAGCTTTCGCAGAAACATCTTTCTGACGTTTGCATTCAAAGTCCAGAGTTGAACCTTCCTTTGATAGTTCACGTTTGAAACACTCTTGTTGGAGGACATGCAAGTGCATATTTGGAGCACTTTGTGGCCTTCGTTCGAAACGGGTATATCTTCACAAAAAATCTAGACAGAAGCCTTCTCAGAAACTTCTCTGTGATGATTGCATTCAACTCACAGAGTTGAACATTCCTTTTGATAGAGCAGTTTTGAAACTCTCTTTTTCTAGCATCTGCAAATGGATAGGTGGAACTCTGTGAAGATTTCTTTGGAAACGGGAATATCTTCACGTAAAAAGTAAACAGAAGCATTCTCAGAAACTCCTTTGTGAGGCTTGTGTTCAACCCCCAGAGTATAACATTGCTTTTCATAGAGCAGTTTTGAAACATTCTTTTCGTAGATTCTCCAAGTGGACATTTGGAGCGCTTTCAGGCCTGTGGTGGAAAAGGAAATATCTTCACATAAAAACTAGAGAGAAGCATTGTCAGAAACTTCTTTGTGATGATTGCATTCAACTCACGGAGTTGAAGATTCCTTTTGATACAGCAGTTTGGAAACACTCTTTCGGTGGAATCTGCAAGCGGATATGTGGACCTCTTTGAACATTTCGATGGAAAAGGGATAATCTTCCCATGAAAGCTAAACGGAAGCATGCTCAGGAGCTTCTTTGTGATGTTTGCATTCAACTCACAGAGTTGTACTTTCCTTTTGATAGAGCAGCTTTGAAACCCTCTCTTTCTAGCATCTGCAAGGGGACATTTGGAGGGCTTCGAGGCCTGGGGTGGAAAAGGAAATATCTGCTCATTAAAGCTACATGGAAGCATTCTCAGAAACTGCTTTGTGATGATTGCATTCAAGTCACAGAGTTGAACATTCCCTTTGATAGAGCCGTTTGGAAACACACTTTTGGTAGAATCTGAAAGGGGAGATTTGGACCGCTTTGAGGCCTATGGCAGCAGAGGATATAACTGCCCATAAAAACTAGACAGTAGCATTCTCAGGAAACACTTTGTGACGATTGAGTTCAACTCACAGAGCTGAACATTCCTTTGGATGGAGCAGTTTCAAAACACACTTTCTGTGGAATCTGCAAGTGGATATTTGGACCTCTCTGAGGATTTCGTTGGATACGGGAGAAAACTCACCTATCTAAACAGAAGCATTCTCAGAACCTTCTTCGTGATGCTTGCATTCAACTCACAGTGTTGAACCTTTCTCTGATAGTTCAGGTTTGAAACACTCCTTCTGCAGAATCTGCAAGTGGAGATTTGGACCTCTTTGAGGCCTATCGTCGTAAAGGAAATAACTTCATCCTAAAACAAGACAGAAGCATTCTCAGAAAATTCTTTGTGATGATTAAGTTTAACTCACAGAGCTGAGCATATCTTTTGATGGAGCACTTTCAAAACACACTTTTTGTAGAATATGCAAGTGGATATTTGTACTTCTCTGAGAATTTCGTTGGAAACGGGATAAAACTCACATAACTGAAGAGAAACATTCCCAGAACTTCTTTGTGATGTTGGCATTCAACTCTCAGAGTTGAACCTTCCCTTGTGAGTTCAGGTTGAAACGCCCTTTTCGTAGTATCTGCAAGTGGAGATTTGGAACGCTTTGAGGCCTACGGTAGTAAAGGAAACAGCTTCATGTAAAAACTGGACAGAAGCATTCTCAGAAAATACTTTGTGATGATTGAGTTTAACTCACAGAGCTGAACATGCCTTTGGGTGGAGCAGTTTGGAAACACACTTTTTGCAGAATCTGCAGGTGGATATTTGGACCTCTCTGAGGATTTCGTTGGAAACGGGATAACGTCACCTAACTAAACAGAAGCTTTCGCAGAAACATCTTTCTGACGTTTGCATTCAAAGTCCAGAGTTGAACCTTCCTTTGATAGTTCACGTATGAAACACTCTTGTTGGAGGACCTGCAAGTGGACATTTGGAGCACTTTGTGGCCCTCGTTCGAAACGGGTATATCTTCACATAAAGTCTAGACAGAAGCCTTCTCAGAAACTTCTCTGTGATGACTGCATTCAACTCACAGAGTTGAACATTCCTTTTGATAGAGCAGTTTTGAAACTCTCTTTTTCTAGCATCTGCAAATGGATAGGTGGAACTCTGTGAAGATTTCTTTGGAAACGGGAATATCTTCACGTAAAAAGTAAACAGAAGCATTCTCAGAAACTCCTTTGTGAGGCTTGTGTTCAACTCCCAGAGTATAACATTGCTTTTCATAGAGCAGTTTTGAAACATTCTTTTCGTAGAGTCTCCAAGTGGACATTTGGAGCGCTTTCAGGCCTGTGGTGGAAAAGGAAATATCTTCATATAAAAACTAGAGAGAAGCGTTGTCAGAAACTTCTTTGTGATGATTGCATTCAACTCACGGAGTTGAAGATTCCTTTTGATACAGCAGTTTGGAAACACTATTTCGGTGGAATCTGCAAGCGGATATGTGGACCTCTTTGAACATTTCGATGGAAAAGGGATAATCTTCCCATAAAAGATAAACGGAAGCATGCTCAGGAACTTTTTGTGATGTTTGCATTCAACTCACAGAGTTGTACTTTCCTTTTGATAGAGCAGCTTTGAAACCCTCTCTTTCTAGCATCTGCAAGGGGACATTTGGAGGGCTTCGAGGCCTGGGGTGGAAAAGGAAATATCTGCTCATAAAAGCTACATGGAAGCATTCTCAGAAACTGCTTTGTGATGATTGCATTCAAGTCACAGAGTTGAACATTCCCTTTGATAGAGCCGTTTGGAAACACACTTTTGGTAGAATCTGAAAGGGGAGATTTGGACCGCTTTGAGGCCTATGGCAGCAGAGGATATAACTGCCCATAAAAACTAGACAGTAGCATTCCCAGGAAACAATTTGTGACGATTGAGTTCAACTCACAGAGCTGAACATTCCTTTGGATGGAGCAGTTTCAAAACACACTTTCTGTAGAATCTGCAAGTGGATATTTGGACCTCTCTGAGGATTTCGTTGGATACGGGAGAAAACTCACCTATCTAAACAGAGGCATTCTCAGAACCTTCTTCGTAATGCTTGCATTCAACTCACAGTGTTGAACCTTTCTCTGATAGTTCAGGTTTGAAACACTCCTTCTGCAGAATCTGCAAGTGGAGATTTGGACCTCTTTGAGGCCTATCGTCGTAAAGGAAATAACTTCATCCTAAAACAAGACAGAAGCATTCTCAGAAAATTCTTTGTGATGATTGAGTTTAACTCACAGAGCTGAACATATCTTTTGATGGAGCACTTTCAAAACACACTTTTTGTCGAATATGCAAGTGGATATTTGTACTTCTCTGAGAATTTCGTTGGAAACGGGATAAAACTCACATAACTGAAGAGAAACACTCTCAGAACTTCTTTGTGATGTTGGCATTCAACTGACAGAGTTGAACCTTCCCTTGTGAGTTCAGGTTGAAACGCTCTTTTCGTACTATCTTCAAGTGGAGATTTGGAATGCTTTGAGGCCTATGGTAGTAAACGAAACAGCTTCATGTAAAAACTGGACAGAAGCATTCTCAGAAAATACTTTGTGATGATTGAGTTTAACTCACAGAGCTGAACATGCCTTTGGGTGGAGCAGTTTGGAAACACACTTTTTGCAGAATCTGCAGGTGGATATTTGGACCTCTCTGAGGATTTCGTTGGAAACGGGATAACGTCACCTAACTAAACAGAAGCTTTCGCAGAAACATCTTTCTGACGTTTGCATTCAAAGTCCAGAGTTGAACCTTCCTTTGATAGTTCACGTTTGAAACACTCTTGTTGGAGGACCCGCAAGAGGATATTTGGAGCACTTTGTGGCCTTTGTTCGAAACGGGTATATCTTCACATAAAATCTAGCCAGAAGCCTTCTCAGAAACTTCTCTGTGATGACTGCATTCAACTCACAGAGTTGAACATTCCTTTTGATAGAGCAGTTTTGAAACTCTCTTTTTCTAGCATCTGCAAATGGATAGGTGGAAGTCTGTGAAGATTTCTTTGGAAACGGGAATATCTTCACGTAAAAAGTAAACAGAAGCATTCTCAGAAAGTCCTTTGTGAGGCTTGTGTTCAACTCCCAGAGTATAACATTGCTTTTCATAGAGCAGTTTTGAAACATTCTTTTCGTAGAGTCTCCAAGTGGACATTTGGAGAGCTTTCAGGCCTGTGGTGGAAAAGGAAATATCTTCACATAAAAACTAGAGAGAAGCATTGTCAGAAACTTCTTTGTGATGATTGCATTCAACTAAAGGAGTTGAAGATTCCTTTTGATACAGCAGTTTGGAAACACTCTTTCGGTGGAATCTGCAAGCGGATATGTGGACCTCTTTGAACATTTCGATGGAAAAGGGATAATCTTCCCATGAAAGCTAAACGGAAGCATGCTCAGGAACTTCTTTGTGATGTTTGCATTCAACTCACAGAGTTGTACTTTCCTTTTGATAGAGCAGCTTTGAAACCCTCTCTTTCTAGCATCTGCAAGGGGACATTTGGAGGGCTTCGAGGCCTGGGGTGGAAAAGGAAATATCTGCTCATTAAAGCTACATGGAAGCATTCTCAGAAACTGCTTTGTGATGATTGCATTCAAGTCACAGAGTTGAACATTCCCTTTGATAGAGCCGTTTAGAAACACACTTTTGGTAGAATCTGAAAGGGGAGATTTGGACCGCTTTGAGGCCTATGGCAGCAGAGGATATAACTGCCCATAAAAAGTAGACAGTAGCATGCTCAGAGACTTCTTTGTGATGTTTGCATTCAACTCCCAGAGTTGTACTTTCCTTTTGATAGAGCAGCTTTGAAACCCTCTCTTTCTAGAATCTGCAAGTGGACATTTGGAGGGCTTCGAGGCCTGTGGTGGAAAAGGAAATATCTACTCATAAAAGCTAGATGGAAGCATTCTCAGAAACTACTTTGTGATGATTGCTTTCAGGTCACAGAGTTGAACATTCCCTTTGATAGAGCCGTTTGGAAACACACTTTTGGTAGAATCTGCAAGGGGAGATTTGGACCGCTTTGAGGCCTATGGCAGTAGAGGAAATCACTGCCCATAAAAACTAGACAGCAGCATTCTCAGGAAACACTTTGTGACGATTGAGTTCAACTCACAGAGCTGAACATTCCTTTGGATGGAGCAGTTTCGAAACACACTTTTTGTAGGATCTGCAAGTGGATATTTGGACTTCTCTGAGGATTTCGTTGGAAACGGGATAAACCTCACCTAACTAAACAGAAACATTCCCAGCAACTTCTTTGTGATGTTGGCATTCAACTGACAGAGTTGAACCTTCCCTTGTGAGTTCAGGTTGAAACGCCCTTTTCGTAGTATCTGCAAGTGGAGATTTGGAACGCTTTGAGGCCTACGGTAGTAAAGGAAACAGCTTCATGTAAAAACTGGACAGAAGCATTCTCAGAAAATACTTTGTGATGATTGAGTTTAACTCACAGAGCTGAACATGCCTTTGGGTGGAGCAGTTTGGAAACACACTTTTTGCAGAATCTGCAGGTGGATATTTGGACCTCTCTGAGGATTTCGTTGGAAACGGGATAACGTCACCTAACTAAACAGAAGCTTTTGCAGAAACATCTTTCTGACGTTTGCATTCAAAGTCCAGAGTTGAACCTTCCTTTGATAGTTCACGTTTGAAACACTCTTGTTGGAGGACCTGCAAGTGGATATTTGGAGCACTTTGTGGCCTTCGTTCGAAACGGGTATATCTTCACATAAAATCTAGACAGAAGCCTTCTCAGAAACTTCTCTGTGATGACTGCATTCAACTCACAGAGTTGAACATTCCTTTTGATAGAGCAGTTTTGAAACTCTCTTTTTCTAGCATCTGCAAATGGATAGGTGGAAGTCTGTGAAGATTTCTTTGGAAACGGGAATATCTTCACGTAAAAAGTAAACAGAAGCATTCTCAGAAACTCCTTTGTGAGGCTTGTGTTCAACTCCCAGAGTATAACATTGCTTTTCATAGAGCAGTTTTGAAACATTCTTTTCGTAGAGTCTCCAAGTGGACATTTGGAGCGCTTTCAGGCCTGTGGTGGAAAAGGAAATATCTTCACATAAAAACTAGAGAGAAGCGGTTGTCAGAAACTTCTTTGTGATGATTGCATTCAACTCACGGAGTTGAAGATTCCTTTTGAAACAGCAGTTTGGAAACACTCTTTCGGTGGAATCTGCAAGCGGATATGTGGACCTCTTTGAACATTTCGATGGAAAAGGGATAATCTTCCCATAAAAGCTAAACGGAAGCATGCTCAGGAACTTCTTTGTGATGTTTGCCTTCAACTCACAGAGTTGTACTTTCCTTTTGATAGAGCAGCTTTGAAACCCTCTCTTTCTAGCATCTGCAAGGGGACATTTGGAGGGCTTCGAGGCCTGGGGTGGAAAAGGAAATATCTGCTCATAAAAGCTACATGGAAGCATTCTCAGAAACTGCTTTGTGATGATTGCATTCAAGTCACAGAGTTGAACATTCCCTTTGATAGAGCCGTTTGGAAACACACTTTTGGTAGAATCTGAAAGGGGAGATTTGGACCGCTTTGAGGCCTATGGCAGCAGAGGATATAACTGCCCATAAAAACTAGACAGTAGCATTCCCAGGAAACACTTTGTGACGATTGAGTTCAACTCACAGAGCTGAACATTCCTTTGGATGGAGCAGTTTCAAAACACACTTTCTGTAGAATCTGCAAGTGGATATTTGGACCTCTCTGAGGATTTCGTTGGATACGGGAGAAAACTCACCTATCTAAACAGAAGCATTCTCAGAACCTTCTTCGTGATGCTTGCATTCAACTCACAGTGTTGAACCTTTCTCTGATAGTTCAGGTTTGAAACACTCCTTCTGCAGAATCTGCAAGTGGAGATTTGGACCTCTTTGAGGCCTATCGTCGTAAAGGAAATAACTTCATCCTAAAACAAGACAGAAGCATTCTCAGAAAATTCTTTGTGATGATTGAGTTTAACTCACAGAGCTGAGCATATCTTTTGATGGAGCACTTTCAAAACACACTTTTTGTAGAATATGCAAGTGGATATTTGTACTTCTCTGAGAATTTCGTTGGAAACGGGATAAAACTCACATAACTGAAGAGAAACATTCCCAGAACTTCTTTGTGATGTTGGCATTCAACTGACAGAGTTGAACCTTCCCTTGTGAGTTCAGGTTGAAACGCCCTTTTCGTAGTATCTGCAAGTGGAGATTTGGAACGCTTTGAGGCCTACGGTAGTAAAGGAAACAGCTTCATGTAAAAACTGGACAGAAGCATTCTCAGAAAATACTTTGTGATGATTGAGTTTAACTCACAGAGCTGAACATGCCTTTGGGTGGAGCAGTTTGGAAACACACTTTTTGCAGAATCTGCAGGTGGATATTTGGACCTCTCTGAGGATTTCGTTGGAAACGGGATAACGTCACCTAACTAAACAGAAGCTTTCGCAGAAACATCTTTCTGACGTTTGCATTCAAAGTCCAGAGTTGAACCTTCCTTTGATAGTTCACGTTTGAAACACTCTTGTTGGAGGACCTGCAAGTGGATATTTGGAGCACTTTGTGGCGTTTGTTCGAAACGGCTATATCTTCACATAAAATCTAGACAGAAGCCTTCTCAGAAACTTCTCTGTGATGATTGCATTCAACTCACAGAGTTGAACATTCCTTTTGATAGAGCAGTTTTCAAACTCTCTTTTTCTAGCATCTGCAAATGGATAGGTGGAACTCTGTGAAGATTTCTTTGGAAACGGGAATATCTTCACGTAAAAAGTAAACAGAAGCATTCTCAGAAACTCCTTTGTGAGGCTTGTGTTCATCTCCCAGAGTATAACATTGCTTTTCATAGAGCAGTTTTGAAACATTCTTTTCGTAGAGTCTCCAAGTGCACATTTGGAGTGCTTTCAGGCCTGTGGTGGCAAAGGAAATATCTTCACATGAAAACTAGAGAGAAGCATTGTCAGAAACTTCTTTGTGATGATTGCATTCAACTCACGGAGTTGAAGATTCCTTTTGATACAGCAGTTTGGAAACACTCTTTCGGTGGAATCTGCAAGCGGATATGTGGACCTCTTTGAACATTTCGATGGAAAAGGGATAATCTTCCCATGAAAGCTAAACGGAAGCATGCTCAGGAACCTCTTTGTGATGTTTGCATTCAACTCACACAGTTGTACTTTCCTTTTGATAGAGCAGCTTTGAAACCCTCTCTTTCTAGCATCTGCAAGGGGACATTTGGAGGGCTTCGAGGCCTGGGGTGGAAAAGGAAATATCTGCTCATAAAAGCTACATGGAAGCATTCTCAGAAACTGCTTTGTGATGATTGCATTCAAGTCACACAGTTGAACATTCCCTTTGATAGAGCCGTTTGGAAACACACTTTTGGTAGAATCTGAAAGGGGAGACTTGGACCGCTTTGAGGCCTATGGCAGCAGAGGATATAACTGCACATAAAAACTAGACAGTAGCATTCCAAGGAAACACTTTGTGACGATGGAGTTCAACTCACACAGCTGAACATTGCTTTGGATGGAGCAGTTTCAAAACACACTTTCTGTAGAATCTGCAAGTGGATATTTGGACCTCTCTGAGGATTTCGTTGGATACGGGAGAAAACTCACTTATCTAAACAGAAGCATTCTCAGAACCCTCTTCGTGATGCTTGCATTCAACTCACAGTGTTGAACCTTTCTCTGATAGTTCAGGTTTGAAACACTCCTTCTGCAGAATCTGCAAGTGGAGATTTGGACCTCTTTGAGGCCTATCGTCGTAAAGGAAATAACTTCATCCTAAAACAAGACAGAAGCATACTCAGAAAATTCTTTGTGATGATTGAGTTTAACTCACAGAGCTGAGCATATCTTTTGATGGAGCATTTTCAAAACACACTTTTTGTAGAATATGCAAGTGGATATTTGTACTTCTCTGAGAATTTCGTTGGAAACGGGATAAAACTCACATAACTGAAGAGTAACATTCCCAGAACTTCTTTGTGATGTTGGCATTCAACTCTCAGAGTTGAACCTTCCCTTGTGAGTTCAGGTTGAAACGCCCTTTTCGTAGTATCTGCAAGTGGAGATTTGGAACGCTTTGAGGCCTACGGTAGTAAAGGAAACAGCTTCATGTAAAAACTGGACAGAAGCATTCTCAGAAAATACTTTGTGATGATTGAGTTTAACTCACAGAGCTGAACATGCCTTTGGGTGGAGCAGTTTGGAAACACACTTTTTGCAGAATCTGCAGGTGGATATTTGGACCTCTCTGAGGATTTCGTTGGAAACGGGATAACGTCACCTAACTAAACAGAAGCTTTCGCAGAAACATCTTTCTGACGTTTGCATTCAAAGTCCAGAGTTGAACCTTCCTTTGATAGTTCACGTTTGAAACACTCTTGTTGGAGGACCTGCAAGTGGATATTTGGAGCACTTTGTGGCCTTCGTTCGAAACGGGTATATCTTCACATAAAATCTAGACAGAAGCCTTCTCAGAAACTTCTCTGTGATGACTGCATTCAACTCACAGAGTTGAACATTCCTTTTGATAGAGCAGTTTTGAAACTCTCTTTTTCTAGCATCTGCAAATGGATAGGTGGAAGTCTGTGAAGATTTCTTTGGAAACGGGAATATCTTCACGTAAAAAGTAAACAGAAGCATTCTCAGAAACTCCTTTGTGAGGCTTGTGTTCAACTCCCAGAGTATAACATTGCTTTTCATAGAGCAGTTTTGAAACATTCTTTTCGTAGAGTCTCCAAGTGGACATTTGGAGCGCTTTCAGGCCTGTGGTTGAAAAGGAAATATCTTCACATAAAAACTAGAGAGAAGCGTTGTCAGAAACTTCTTTGTGATGATTGCATTCAACTCACGGAGTTGACGATTCCTTTTGATACAGCAGTTTGGAAACACTCTTTCGGTGGAATCTGCAAGCGGATATGTGGACCTCTTTGAACATTTCGATGGAAAAGGGATAATCTTCCCATGAAAGCTAAACGGAAGCATGCTCAGGAACTTCTTTGTGATGTTTGCATTCAACTCACAGAGTTGTACTTTCCTTTTGATAGAGCAGCTTTGAAACCCTCTCTTTCTAGCATCTGCAAGGGGACATTTGGAGGGCTTCGAGGCCTGGGGTGGAAAAGGAAATATCTGCTCATAAAAGCTACATGGAAGCATTCTCAGAAACTGCTTTGTGATGATTGCATTCAAGTCACAGAGTTGAACATTCCCTTTGATAGAGCCGTTTGGAAACACACTTTTGGTAGAATCTGAAAAGGGAGATTTGGACCGCTTTGAGGCCTATGGCAGCAGAGGATATAACTGCCCATAAAAACAAGACAGTAGCATTCCCAGGAAACACTTTGTGACGATTGAGTTCAACTCACACAGCTGAACATTCCTTTGGATGGAGCAGTTTCAAAACACACTTTCTGTAGAATCTGCAAGTGGATATTTGGACCTCTCTGAGGATTTCGTTGGATACGGGAGAAAACTCACCTATCTAAACAGAAGCATTCTCAGAACCTTCTTCGTGATGCTTGCATTCAACTCACAGTGTTGAACCTTTCTCTGATAGTTCAGGTTTGAAACACTCCTTCTGCAGAATCTGCAAGTGGAGATTTGGACCTCTTTGAGGCCTATCGTCGTAAAGGAAATAACTTCATCCTATGACAAGACAGAAGCATTCTCAGAAAATTCTTTGTGATGATTGAGTTTAACTCACAGAGCTGAGCATATCTTTTGATGGAGCATTTTCAAAACACACTTTTTGTAGAATATGCAAGTGGATATTTGTACTTCTCTGAGAATTTCGTTGGAAACGGGATAAAACTCACATAACTGAAGAGAAACATTCCCAGAACTTCTTTGTGACGTTGGCATTCAACTGACAGAGTTGAACATTCCCTTGTGAGTTCAGGTTGAAATGCTCTTTTCGTAGTATCTGCAAGTGGAGATTTGGAACGCTTTGAGGCCTACGGTAGTAAAGGAAACAGCTTCATGTAAAAAGTGGACAGAAGCATTCTCAGAAAATACTTTGTGATGATTGAGTTTAACTCACAGAGCTGAACATTCCTTTGGGTGGAGCAGTTTGGAAACACACTTTTTGCAGAATCTGCAGGTGGATATTTGGACCTCTCTGAGGATTTCGTTGGAAACGGGATAACGTCACCTAACTAAACAGAAGCTTTCGCAGAAACATCTTTCTGACGTTTGCATTCAAAGTCCAGAGTTGAACCTTCCTTTGATAGTTCACGTTTGAAACACTCTTGTTGGAGGACCTGCAAGTGGATATTTGGAGCATTTTGCGGTCTTCGTTCGAAACGGGTATATCTTCACAAAAAATCTAGACAGAAGCCTTCTCAGAAACTTCTCTGTGATGACTGCATTCAAATCACAGAGTTGAGAATTCCTTTTGATAGAGCAGTTTTGAAACTCTCTTTTTCTAGCATCTGCAAATGGATAGGTGGAACTCTGTGAAGATTTCTTTGGAAACGGGAATATCTTCACGTAAAAAGTAAACAGAAGCATTCTCAGAAACTCCTTTGTGAGGCTTGTGTTCAACTCCCAGAGTATAACATTGCTTTTCATAGAGCAGTTTTGAAACATTCTTTTCGTAGAGTCTCCAAGTGGACATTTGGAGCGCTTTCAGGCCTGTGGTGGAAAAGGAAATATCTTCACATAAAAACTAGAGAGAAGCGTTGTCAGAAACTTCTTTGTGATGATTGCATTCAACTCACGTAGTTGAAGATTCCTTTTGATACAGCAGTTTGGAAACGCTCTTTCGGTGGAATCTGCAAGCGGATATGTGGACCTCTTTGAACATTTCGATGGAAAAGGGATAATCTTCCCATAAAAGCTAAACGGAAGCATGCTCAGGAACTTCTTTGTGATGTTTGCATTCAACTCACAGAGTTGTCCTTTCCTTTTGATAGAGCAGCTTTGAAACCCTCTCTTTCTAGCATCTGCCAGGGGACATTTGGAGGGCTTCGAGGCCTGGGGTGGAAAAGGAAATATCTGCTCATAAAAGCTACATGGAAGCATTCTCAGAAACTGCTTTGTGATGATTGCATTCAAGTCACAGAGTTGAACATTCCCTTTGATAGAGCCGTTTGGAAACACACTTTTGGTAGAATCTGAAAGGGGAGATTTGGACCGCTTTGAGGCCTATGGCAGCAGAGGATATAACTGCCCATAAAAACTAGACAGTAGCATTCCCAGGAAACACTTTGTGATGATTGAGTTCAACTCACAGAGCTGAACATTCCTTTGGATGGAGCAGTTTCAAAACACACTTTCTGTAGAATCTGCAAGTGGATATTTGGACCTCTCTGAGGATTTCGTTGGATACGGGAGAAAACTCACCTATCTAAACAGAGGCATTCTCAGAACCTTCTTCGTGATGCTTGCATTCAACTCACAGTGCTGAAACTTTCTCTGATAGTTCAGGTTTGAAACACTCCTTCTGCAGAATCTGCAAGTGGAGATTTGGACCTCTTTGAGGCCTATCGTCGTAAAGGAAATAACTTCATCCTAAAACAAGACAGAAGCATTCTCAGAAAATTCTTTGTGATGATTGAGTTTAACTCACAGAGCTGAGCATATCTTTTGATGGAGCACTTTCAAAACACACTTTTTGTAGAATATGCAAGTGGATATTTGTACTTCTCTGAGAATTTCGTTGGAAACGGGATAAAACTCACATAACTGAAGAGAAACATTCCCAGAACTTCTTTGTGATGTTGGCATTCAACTGACAGAGTTGAACCTTCCCTCGTGAGTTCAGGTTGAAACGCTCTTTTCGTAGTATCTGCAAGTGTAGATTTGGAACGCTTTGAGGCCTACGGTAGTAAAGGAAACAGCTTCATGTAAAAACTGGACAGAAGCTTTCTCAGAAAATACTTTGTGATGATTGAGTTTAACTCACAGAGCTGAACATACCTTTGGGTGGAGCAGTTTGGAAACACACTTTTTGCAGAATCTGCAGGTGGATATTTGGACCTCTCTGAGGATTTCGTTGGAAACGGGATAACATCACCTAACTAAACAGAAGCTTTCGCAGAAACATCTTTCTGACGTTTGCATTCAAAGTCCAGAGTTGAACCTTCCTTTGATAGTTCACGTATGAAACACTCTTGTTGGAGGACCTGCAAGTGGATATTTGGAGCACTTTGTGGCCCTCGTTCGAAACGGGTATATCTTCACATAAAGTCTAGACAGAAGCCTTCTCAGAAACTTCTCTGTGATGATTGCATTCAACTCACAGAGTTGAACATTCCTTTTGATAGAGCAGTTTTGAAACTCTCTTTTTCTAGCATCTACAAATGGATAGGTGGAACTCTGTGAAGATTTCTTTGGAAACGGGAATATCTTCACGTAAAAAGTAAACAGAAGCATTCTCAGAAACTCCTTTGTGAGGCTTGTGTTCATCTCCCAGAGTATAACATTGCTTTTCATAGAGCAGTTTTGAAACATTCTTTTCGTAGAGTCTCCAAGTGGACATTTGGAGCGCTTTCAGGCCTGTGGTGGAAAAGGAAATATCTTCACATAAAAACTAGAGAGAAGCATTGTCAGAAACTTCTTTGTGATGATTGCATTCAACTGACGGAGTTGAAGATTCCTTTCGATACAGCAGTTTGGAAACACTCTTTCGGTGGAATCTGCAAGCGGATATGTGGACCTCTTTGAACATTTCGATGGAAAAGGGATAATCTTCCCATAAAAGCTAAACGGAAGCATGCTCAGGAACTTCTTTGTGATGTTTGCATTCAACTCACAGAGTTGTACTTTCCTTTTGATAGAGCAGCTTTGAAACCCTCTCTTTCTAGCATCTGCAAGGGGACATTTGGAGGGCTTCGAGGCCTGGGGTGGAAAAGGAAATATCTGCTCATAAAAGCTACATGGAAGCATTCTCAGAAACTGCTTTGTGATGATTGCATTCAAGTCACAGAGTTGAACATTCCCTTTGATAGAGCCGTTTGGAAACACACTTTTGGTAGAATCTGAAAGGGGAGATTTGGACCGCTTTGAGGCCTATGGCAGCAGAGGATATAACTGCCCATAAAAACTAGACAGTAGCATTCCCAGGAAACACTTTGTGACGATTGAGTTCAACTCACAGAGCTGAACATTCCTTTGGATGGAGCAGTTTCAAAACACACTTTCTGTAGAATCTGCAAGGGGATATTTGGACCTCTCTGAGGATTTCGTTGGATACGGGAGAAAACTCACCTATCTAAACAGAAGCATTCTCAGAACCTTCTTCGTGATGCTTGCATTCAACTCACAGTGTTGAACCTTTCTCTGATAGTTCAGGTTTGAAACACTCCTTCTGCAGAATCTGCAAGTGGAGATTTGGACCTCTTTGAGGCCTATCGTCGTAAAGGAAATAACTTCATCCTAAAACAAGACAGAAGCATTCTCAGAAAATTCTTTGTGATGATTGAGTTTAACTCACAGAGCTGAGCATATCTTTTGATGGAGCATTTTCAAAACACACTTTTTGTAGAATATGCAAGTGGATATTTGTACTTCTCTGAGAATTTCGTTGGAAACGGGATAAAACTCACATAACTGAAGAGAAACATTCCCAGAACTTCTTTGTGGTGTTGGCATTCAACTGACAGAGTTGAACCTTCCCTTGTGAGTTCAGGTTGAAACGCTCTTTTCGTAGTATCTGCAAGTGGAGATTTGGAACGCTTTGAGGCCTACGGTAGTAAAGGAAACAGCTTCATGTAAAAACTGGACAGAAGCATTCTCAGAAAATACTTTGTGATGATTGAGTTTAACTCACAGAGCTGAACATGCCTTTGGGTGGAGCAGTTTGGAAACACACTTTTTGCAGAATCTGCAGGTGGATATTTGGACCTCTCTGAGGATTTCGTTGGAAACGGGATAACGTCACCTAACTAAACAGAAGCTTTCGCAGAAAAATCTTTCTGACGTTTGCATTCAAAGTCCAGAGTGGAGCCTTCCTTTGGTAGTTCACGTTTGAAACACTCTTTTTGGAGGACCTGCAAGTGGATATTTGGAGCACTTTGTGGCCTTCGTTCGAAACGGCTATATCTTCACATAAAATCTAGACAGAAGCCTTCTCAGAAACTTCTCTGTGATGATTGCATGCAACTCACAGAGTTGAACATTCCTTTTGATAGAGCAGTTTTGAAACTCTCTTTTTCTAGCATCTGCAAATGGATAGGTAGAACTCTGTGAAGATTTCTTTGGAAACGGGAATATCCTCACGTAAAAAGTAAACAGAAGCATTCTCAGAAACTCCTTTGTGAGGCTTGTGTTCAACTCCCAGAGTATAACATTGCTTTTCATAGAGCAGTTTTGAAACTTTCTTTTCGTAGAGCCTCCAAGTGGACATTTGGAGGGCTTTCAGGCCTGTGGTGGAATAGGAAATATCTTCACATAAAAACTAGAGAGAAGCATTGTCAGAAACTTCTTGGTGATGATTGCATTCAACTCACGGAGTTGAGGATTCCTTTTGATACAGCAGTTTGGAAACACTCTTTCGGTGGAATCTGCAAGCGGATATGTGGACCTCTTTGAACATTTCGATGGAAAATGGATAATCTTCCCATAAAAGCTAAACGGAAGCATGCTCAGGAACTTCTTTGTGAAGTTTGCATTCAACTCACAGAGTTGTACTTTCCTTTTGATAGAGCAGCTTTGAAACCCTCTCTTTCTAGCATCTGCAAGGGGACATTTGGAGGGCTTCGAGGCCTGGGGTGGAAAAGGAAATATCTTCTCATCAAAGCTACATGGAAGCATTCTCAGAAACTGCTTTGTGATGATTGCATTCAAGTCACAGAGTTGAACATTCCCTTTGATAGAGCCGTTTGGAAACACACTTTTGGTAGAATCTGAAAGGTGAGATTTGGACCGCTTTGAGGCCTATGGCAGCAGAGGATATAACTGCACATAAAAACTAGACAGTAGCATTCCCAGGAAACACTTTGTGACGATTGAGTTCAACTCACACAGCTGAACATTCCTTTGGATGGAGCAGTTTCAAAACAAACTTTCTGTAGAATCTGCAAGTGGATATTTGGACCTCTCTGAGGATTTCGTTGGATAAGGGAGAAAACTCACTTATCTAAAGTGAACCATTCTCAGAACCTTCTTCGTGATGCTTGCATTCAACTCACAGTGTTGAACCTTTCTCTGATAGTTCAGGTTTGAAACACTCCTTCTGCAGAATCTGCAAGTGGAGATTTGGACCTCTTTGAGGCCTATCGTCGTAAAGGAAATAACTTCATCCTAAAACAAGACAGAAGCATTCTCAGAAAATTCTTTGTGATGATTGAGTTTAACTCACAGAGCTGAGCATATCTTTTGATGGAGCACTTTCAAAACACACTTTGTGTAGAATATGCAAGTGGATATTTGTACTTCTCTGAGAATTTCGTTGGAAACGGGATAAAACTCACATAACTGAAGAGAAACATTCCCAGAACTTCTTTGTGATGTTGGCATTCAACTGACAGAGTTGAACCTTCCCTTGTGAGTTCAGGTTGAAACGCCCTTTTCGTAGTATCTGCAAGTGGAGATTTGGAACGCTTTGAGGCCTACGGTAGTAAAGGAAACAGCTTCATGTAAAAACTGGACAGAAGCATTCTCAGAAAATACTTTGTGATGATTGAGTTTAACTCACAGAGCTGAACATGCCTTTGGGTGGAGCAGTTTGGAAACACACTTTTTGCAGAATCTGCAGGTGGATATTTGGACCTCTCTGAGGATTTCGTTGGAAACGGGATAACGTCACCTAACTAAACAGAAGCTTTCGCAGAAACATCTTTCTGACGTTTGCATTCAAAGTCCAGAGTTGAACCTTCCTTTGATAGTTCACGTTTGAAACACTCTTGTAGGAGGACCTGCAAGTGGATATTTGGAGCACTTTGTGGCCTTTGTTCGAAACGGGTATATCTTCACATAAAATCTAGACAGAAGCCTTCTCAGAAACTTCTCTGTGATGACTGCATTCAACTCACAGAGTTGAACATTCCTTTTGATAGAGCAGTTTTGAAACTCTCTTTTTCTAGCATCTGCAAATGGATAGGTGGAAGCCTGTGAAGATTTCTTTGGAAACGGGAATATCTTCACGTAAAAAGTAAACAGAAGCATTCTCAGAAACTCCTTTGTGAGGCTTGTGTTCAACTCCCAGAGTATAACATTGCTTTTCATAGAGCAGTTTTGAAACATTCTTTTCGTAGAGTCTCCAAGTGGACATTTGGAGCGCTTTCAGGCCTGTGGTGGAAAAGGAAATATCTTCACATACAAACTAGAGAGAAGCATTGTCAGAAACTTCTTTGTGATGATTGCATTTAACTCACGGAGTTGAAGATTCCTTTCGATACAGCAATTTGGAAACACTCTTTCGGTGGAATCTGCAAGCGGATATGTGGACCTCTTTGAATATTTCGATGGAAAAGGGATAATCTTCCCATAAAAGCTAAACGGAAGCATGCTCAGGAACTTCTTTGTGATGTTTGCATTCAACTCACAGAGTTGTACTTTCCTTTTGATAGAGCAGCTTTGAAACCCTCATTTTCTAGGATCTGCAAGGGGACATTTGGAGGGCTTCCAGGCCTGGGGTGGAAAAGGAAATATCTGCTCATAAAAGCTACATGGAAGCATTCTCAGAAACTGCTTTGTGATGATTGCATTCAAGTCACAGAGTTGAACATTCCCTTTGATAGAGCCGTTTGGAAACACACTTTTGGTAGAATCTGAAAGGGGAGATTTGGACCGCTTTGAGGCCTATGGCAGCAGAGGATATAACTGCACATAAAAACTAGACAGTAGCATTCCCAGGAAACACTTTGTGACGATTGAGTTCAACTCACAGAGCTGAACATTCCTTTGGATGGAGCAGTTTCAAAACACACTTTCTGTAGAATCTGCAAGTGGATATTTGGACCTCTCTGAGGATTTCGTTGGATACGGGAGAAAACTCACCTATCTAAACAGAAGCATTCTCAGAACCTTCTTCGTGATGCTTGCATTCAACTCACAGTGTTGAACCTTTCTCTGATAGTTCAGGTTTGAAACACTCCTTCTGCAGAATCTGCAAGTGGAGATTTGGACCTCTTTGAGGCCTATCGTCGTAAAGGAAATAACTTCATCCTAAAACAAGACAGAAGCATTCTCAGAAAATTCTTTGTGATGATTGAGTTTACCTCACAGAGCTGAGCATATCTTTTGATGGAGCACTTTCAAAACACACTTTGTGTAGAATATGCAAGTGGATATTTGTACTTCTCTGAGAATTTCGTTGGAAACGGGATAAAACTCACATAACTGAAGAGAAACATTCCCAGAACTTCTTTGTGATGTTGGCATTCAACTCTCAGAGTTGAACCTTCCCTTGTGAGTTCAGGTTGAAACGCCCTTTTCGTAGTATCTGCAAGTGGAGATTTGGAACGCTTTGAGGCCTACGGTAGTAAAGGAAACAGCTTCATGTAAAAACTGGACAGAAGCATTCTCAGAAAATACTTTGTGATGATTGAGTTTAACTCACAGAGCTGAACATGCCTTTGGGTGGAGCAGTTTGGAAACACACTTTTTGCAGAATCTGCAGGTGGATATTTGGACCTCTCTGAGGATTTCGTTGGAAACGGGATAACGTCACCTAACTAAACAGAAGCTTTCGCAGAAACATCTTTCTGACGTTTGCATTCAAAGTCCAGAGTTGAACCTTCCTTTGATAGTTCACGTTTGAAACACTCTTGTTGGAGGACCTGCAAGTGGATATTTGGAGCACTTTGTGGCCTTCGTTCGAAACGGGTATATCTTCACATAAAATCTAGACAGAAGCCTTCTCAGAAACTTCTCTGTGATGATTGCATTCAACTCACAGAGTTGAACAGTCCTTTTGATAGAGCAGTTTTGAAACTCTCTTTTTCTAGCATCTGCAAATGGATAGGTGGAACTCTGTGAAGACTTCTTTGCAAACGGGAATATCTTCACGTAAAATAAACAGAAGCATTTTCAGAAACTCCTTTGTGAGGCTTGTGTTCAACTCCCAGAGTATAACATTGCTTTTCATAGAGCAGTTTTGAAACATTCCTTTCGTAGGGTCTGCAAGTGGACATTTTGAGCGCTTTCAGGCCTGCGGTGGAAAAGGAAATATCTTCACATAAAAACTAGAGAGAAGCATTGTCAGAAACTTCTTTGTGATGATTGCATTCACCTCACTGAGTTGAACATTCGTTTTGATACAGCAGTTTGGAATCACTCTTTCGGTGGAATCTGCAAGCTGATATTTGGACCTCTTTGAAGATTTCGATGGAAAAGGGATAATCTTCCCATAAAAGCTAAACGGAAACATTCTCAGAAACTTCTTTGTGATGTTTGCATTCAACTCACAGAGTTGTACTTTCCTTTAGATAGAGCCGCTTTGAAACCCTCTCTTTCTAGAACCTGCAAGTGGACATTTGGAGGGCTTCGCGGCCTGTGGTGGAAAAGGAAATATCTTCCCATAAAAGCTAGATGGAAGCATTCTCAGAAACTGCTTTGTGATGATTGCATTCAAGTCACAGAGTTGAACATTCCCTTTGATAGAGCCGTTTGGAAACACACTTTTGGTAGAATCTGAAAGGGGAGATTTGGACCGCTTTGAGGCCTATGGCAGCAGAGGATATAACTGCCCATAAAAACTAGACAGTAGCATTCCCAGGAAACACTTTGTGACGACTGAGTTCAACTCACAGAGCTGAACATTCCTTTGGATGGAGCAGTTTCAAAACACACTTTCTGTAGAATCTGCAAGTGGATATTTGGACCTCTCTGAGGATTTCGTTGGATACGGGAGAAAACTCACCTATCTAAACAGAAGCATTCTCAGAACCTTCTTCGTGATGCTTGCATTCAACTCACAGTGTTGAACCTTTCTCTGATAGTTCAGGTTTGAAACACTCCTTCTGCAGAATCTGCAAGTGGAGATTTGGACCTCTTTGAGGCCTATCGTCGTAAAGGAAATAACTTCATCCTAAAACAAGACAGAAGCATTCTCAGAAAATTCTTTGTGATGATTGAGTTTACCTCACAGAGCTGAGCATATCTTTTGATGGAGCACTTTCAAAACACACTTTGTGTAGAATATGCAAGTGGATATTTGTACTTCTCTGAGAATTTCATTGGAAACGGGATAAAACTCACATAACTGAAGAGAAACATTCCCAGAACTTCTTTGTGATGTTGGCATTCAACTGACAGAGTTGAACCTTCCCTTGTGAGTTCAGGTTGAAACGCCCTTTTCGTAGTATCTGCAAGTGGAGATTTGGAACGCTTTGAGACCTACGGTAGTAAAGGAAACAGCTTCATGTAAAAACTGGACAGAAGCATTCTCAGAAAATACTTTGTGATGATTGAGTTTAACTCACAGAGCTGAACATGCCTTTGGGTGCAGCAGTTTGGAAACACACTTTTTGCAGAATCTGCAGGTGGATATTTGGACCTCTCCTGAGGATTTCGTTGGAAACGGGATAACGTCACCTAACTAAACAGAAGGTTTCGCAGAAACTACTTTGTGATGTTTGCATTCAAAGCCCAGAGTTGAACCTTCCTTTGATAGTTCACGTTTGAAACACTCTTTTTGCAGGATCTGCAAGTGGATATTTGGAGCCCTTTGTGGCCTTCATTCGAAACGGTTATATCTTCACATAAAATCTAGACAGAAGCCTTCTCAGAAACTTCTCTGTGATGACTGCATTCAACTCACAGAGTTGAACATTCCTTTTGATAGAGCAGTTTTGAAACTCTCTTTTTCAAGCATCTGCAAATGGATAGGTGGAAGTCTCTGAAGATTTCTTTGGAAACGGGAATATCTTCACGTAAAAAGTAAACAGAAGCATTCTCAGAAACTCCTTTGTGAGGCTTGTGTTCAACTCCCAGAGTATAACATTGCTTTTCATAGAGCAGTTTTGAAACATTCTTTTCGTAGAGTCTCCAAGTGGACATTTGGAGCGCTTTCAGGCCTGTGGTGGAAAAGGAAATATCTTCACATAAAAACTAGAGAGAAGCGTTGTCAGAAACTTCTTTGTGATGATTGCATTCAACTCACGGAGTTGAAGATTCCTTTTGATACAGCAGTTTGGAAACACTCTTTCGGTGGAATCTGCAAGCGGATATGTGGACCTCTTTGAACATTTCGATGGAAAAGGGATAATCTTCCCATAAAAGCTAAACGGAAGCATGCTCAGGAACTTCTTTGTGATGTTTGCATTCAACTCACAGAGTTGTACTTTCCTTTTGATAGAGCAGCTTTGAAACCCTCTCTTTCTAGCATCTGCAAGGGGACATTTGGAGGGCTTCGAGGCCTGGGGTGGAAAAGGAAATATCTGCTCATAAAAGCTACATGGAAGCATTCTCAGAAACTGCTTTGTGATGATTGCATTCAAGTCACAGAGTTGAACATTCCCTTTGATAGAGCCGTTTGGAAACACACTTTTGGTAGAATCTGAAAGGGGAGATTTGGACCGCTTTGAGGCCTATGGCAGCAGAGGATATAACTGCCCATAAAAACTAGACAGTAGCATTCCCAGGAAACACTTTGTGACGATTGAGTTCAACTCACAGAGCTGAACATTCCTTTGGATGGAGCAGTTTCAAAACACACTTTCTGTAGAATCTGCAAGTGGATATTTGGACCTCTCTGAGGATTTCGTTGGATACGGGAGAAAACTCACCTATCTAAACAGAAGCATTCTCAGAACCTTCTTCGTGATGCTTGCATTCAACTCACAGTGTTGAACCTTTCTCTGATAGTTCAGGTTTGAAACACTCCTTCTGCAGAATCTGCAAGTGGAGATTTGGACCTCTTTGAGGCCTATCGTCGTAAAGGAAATAACTTCATCCTAAAACAAGACAGATGCATTCTCAGGAAACACTTTGTGACGATTGAGTTCAACTCACAGAGCTGAACATTCCTTTGGATGGAGCAGTTTCGAAACACACTTTTCGTAGGATCTGCAAGTGGATATTTGGACTTCTCTGAGGATTTCGTTGGAAACGGGATAAACCTCACCTAACTAAACAGAAGCATTGTCAGGAACTTCTTCGTGATGTTGGCATTCAACTCACAGAGTTGAACCGTCCCTTGTGAGTTCAGGTTGAAACACTCTTTTCGTAGTATCTGCAAGTGGAGATTTGGAACGCTTTGTGGCCTACGGTAGTAAAGGAAATAGCTTCGAGTAAAAACTGGACAGAAGCATTCTCAGAAAATACTTTGTGATGATTGAGTGTAACTCACAGAGCTGAACATTCCTTTGGATGGGGCAGTTTTGAAACACACTTTTTGTAGCATCTGCAAGTGGATATTTGGACCTCTCTGAGGATTTCGTTGGAAACGGGATAACGTCACCTAACTAAACAGAAGCTTTCGCAGAAAATTCTTTGGGACGTTTGCATTCAAAGTCCAGAGTTGAACCTTCCTTCGATAGCTCACGTTTGAAACACTCTTTTTGTAGGATCTGCAAGTGGATATTTGGAGCACTATGTGGCCTTCGTTTGAAACGGTTATATCTTCACATAAAATCCAGACAGAAGCCTTCTCAGAAACTTCTCTGTGATGACTGCATTCAACTCACAGAGTTGAACATTCCTTTTGATAGAGCAGTTTTGAAACTCTCTTTTTCTAGCATCTGCAAATGGATAGGTGGAAGTCTGTGAAGATTTCTTTGGAAACGGGAATATCTTCACGTAAAAAGTAAACAGAAGCATTCTCAGAAACTCCTTTGTGAGGCTTGTGTTCAACTCCCAGAGTATAACATTGCTTTTCATAGAGCAGTTTTGAAACATTCTTTTCGTAGAGTCTCCAAGTGGACATTTGGAGCGCTTTCAGGCCTGTGGTGGAAAAGGAAATATCTTCACATAAAAACTAGAGAGAAGCGTTGTCAGAAACTTCTTTGTGATGATTGCATTCAACTCACGGAGTTGAAGATTCCTTTTGATACAGCAGTTTGGAAACACTCTTTCGGTGGAATCTGCAAGCGGATATGTGGACCTCTTTGAACATTTCGATGGAAAAGGGATAATCTTCCCATAAAAGCTAAACGGAAGCATGCTCTGGAACTTCTTTGTGATGTTTGCATTCAACTCACAGAGTTGTACTTTCCTTTTGATAGAGCAGCTTTGAAACCCTCTCTTTCTAGCATCTGCAAGGGGACATTTGGAGGGCTTCGAGGCCTGGGGTGGAAAAGGAAATATCTGCTCATAAAAGCTACATGGAAGCATTCTCAGAAACTGCTTTGTGATGATTGCATTCAAGTCACAGAGTTGAACATTCCCTGTGATAGAGCCGTTTGGAAACACACTTTTGGTAGAATCTGAAAGGGGAGATTTGGACCGCTTTGAGGCCTATGGCAGCAGAGGATATAACTGCCCATAAAAACTAGACAGTAGCATTCCCAGGAAACACTTTGTGACGATTGAGTTCAACTCACAGAGCTGAACATTCCTTTGGATGGAGCAGTTTCAAAACACACTTTCTGTAGAATCTGCAAGTGGATATTTGGACCTCTCTGAGGATTTCGTTGGATACGGGAGAAAACTCACCTATCTAAACAGAGGCATTCTCAGAACCTTCTTCGTGATGCTTGCATTCAACTCACAGTGCTGAAACTTTCTCTGATAGTTCAGGTTTGAAACACTCCTTCTGCAGAATCTGCAAGTGGAGATTTGGACCTCTTTGAGGCCTATCGTCGTAAAGGAAATAACTTCATCCTAAAACAAGACAGAAGCATTCTCAGAAAATTCTTTGTGATGATTGAGTTTAACACACAGAGCTGAGCATATCTTTTGATGGAGCATTTTCAAAACACACTTTTTGTAGAATATGCAAGTGGATATTTGGACTTCCCTGAGAATTTCGTGGGAAACGGGATAAACCTCACATAACTGAAGAGAAACATTCTCAGAACTTCTTTGTGATGTTGGCATTCAACTGATAGAGTTGAACCTTCCCTTGTGAGTTCAGGTTGAATCGCTCTTTTCGTAGTATCTGCAAGTGGAGATTTGGAACGCTTTGAGGCCTACGGTAGTAAAGGAAACAGCTTCATGTAAAAACTGGACAGAAGAATTCTCAGAAAATACTTTGGGATGATTGAGTTTAACTCACAGAGCTGAACATTCCTTTTGGTGGAGCAGTTTTGAAACACACTTTTTGTAGACTCTGCAGGTGGATATTTGGACCTCTCTGAGGATTTCGTTGGAAACGGGATAACGTCACCTAACTAAACAGAAGCTTTCGCAGAAAAATCTTTCTGACGTTTGCATTCAAAGTCCAGAGTGGAGCCTTCCTTTGGTAGTTCACGTTTGAAACACTCTTTTTGGAGGACCTGCAAGTGGATATTTGGAGCACTTTGTGGCCTTCGTTCGAAACGGCTATATCTTCACATAAAATCTAGACAGAAGCCTTCTCAGAAACTTCTCTGTGATGACTGCATTCAACTCACAGAGTTGAACATTCCTTTTGATAGAGCAGTTTTGAAACTCTCTTTTTCTAGCATCTGCAAATGGATAGGTGGAAGTCTGTGAAGATTTCTTTGGAAACGGGAATATCTTCACGTAAAAAGTAAACAGAAGCATTCTCAGAAAGTCCTTTGTGAGGCTTGTGTTCAACTCCCAGAGTATAACATTGCTTTTCATAGAGCAGTTTTGAAACATTCTTTTCGTAGAGTCTCCAAGTGGACATTTGGAGCGCTTTCAGGCCTGTGGTGGAAAAGGAAATATCTTCACATAAAAACTAGAGAGAAGCATTGTCAGAAACTTCTTTGTGATGATTGCATTCAACTCACGGAGTTGAAGATTCCTTTTGATACAGCAGTTTGGAAACACTCTTTCGGTGGAATCTGCAAGCGGATATGTGGACCTCTTTGAACATTTCGATGGAAAAGGGATAATCTTCCCATGAAAGCTAAACGGAAGCATGCTCAGGAGCTTCTTTGTGATGTTTGCATTCAACTCACAGAGTTGTACTTTCCTTTTGATAGAGCAGCTTTGAAACCCTCTCTTTCTAGCATCTGCAAGGGGACATTTGGAGGGCTTCGAGGCCTGGGGTGGAAAAGGAAATATCTTCTCCTAAAAGCTACATGGAAGCATTCTCAGTAAACTGCTTTGTGATGATTGCATTCAAGTCACAGAGTTGAACATTCCCTTTGATAGAGCCGTTTGGAAACACACTTTTGGTAGAATCTGAAAGGGGAGATTTGGACCGCTTTGAGGCCTATGGCAGCAGAGGATATAACTGCCCATAAAAACTAGACAGTAGCATTCCCAGGAAACACTTTGTGACGATTGAGTTCAACTCACAGAGCTGAACATTCCTTTGGATGGAGCAGTTTCAAAACACACTTTCTGTAGAATCTGCAAGTGGATATTTGGACCTCTCTGAGGATTTCGTTGGATACGGGAGAAAACTCACCTATCTAAACAGAAGCATTCTCAGAACCTTCTTCGTGATGCTTGCATTCAACTCACAGTGTTGAACCTTTCTCTGATAGTTCAGGTTTGAAACACTCCTTCTGCAGAATCTGCAAGTGGAGATTTGGACCTCTTTGAGGCCTATCGTCGTAAAGGAAATAACTTCATCCTAAAACAAGACAGAAGCATTCTCAGAAAATTCTTTGTGATGATTGAGTTTAACTCACAGAGCTGAGCATATCTTTTGATGGAGCACTTTCAAAACACACTTTTTGTAGAATATGCAAGTGGATATTTGTACTTCTCTGAGAATTTCGTTGGAAACGGGATAAAACTCACATAACTGAAGAGAAACATTCCCAGAACTTCTTTGTGATGTTGGCATTCAACTGACAGAGTTGAACCTTCCCTCGTGAGTTCAGGTTGAAACGCTCTTTTCGTAGTATCTGCAAGTGGAGATTTGGAACGCTTTGAGGCCTACGGTAGTAAAGGAAACAGCTTCATGTAAAAACTGGACAGAAGCATTCTCAGAAAATACTTTGTGATGATTGAGTTTAACTCACAGAGCTGAACATGCCTTTGGGTGGAGCAGTTTGGAAACACACTTTTTGCAGAATCTGCAGGTGGATATTTGGACCTCTCTGAGGATTTCGTTGGAAACGGGATAACGTCACCTAACTAAACAGAAGCTTTCGCAGAACCATCTTTCTGACGTTTGCATTCAAAGTCCAGAGTTGAACCTTTCTTTGATAGTTCACGTTTGAAACACTCTTGTTGGAGGACCTGCAAGTGGATATTTGGAGCACTTTGTGGCCTTCGTTCGAAACGGGTATATCTTCACATAAAATCTAGACAGAGCCTTCTCAGAAACTTCTCTGTGATGACTGCATTCAACTCACAGAGTTGAACATTCCTTTTGATAGAGCAGTTTTGAAACTCTCTTTTTCTAGCATCTGCAAATGGATAGGTGGAAGTCTGTGAAGATTTCTTTGGAAACGGGAATATCTTCACGTAAAAAGTAAACAGAAGCATTCTCAGAAACTCCTTTGTGAGGCTTGTGTTCAACTCCCAGAGTATAACATTGCTTTTCATAGAGCAGTTTTGAAACATTCTTTTCGTAGAGTCTCCAAGTGGACATTTGGAGCGCTTTCAGGCCTGTGGTGGAAAAGGAAATATCTTCACATAAAAACTAGAGAGAAGCGTTGTCAGAAACTTCTTTGTGATGATTGCATTCAACTCACGGAGTTGAAGATTCCTTTTGATACAGCAGTTTGGAAACACTCTTTCGGTGGAATCTGCAAGCGGATATGTGGACCTCTTTGAACATTTCGATGGAAAAGGGATAATCTTCCCATAAAAGCTAAACGGAAGCATGCTCAGGAGCTTCTTTGTGATGTTTGCATTCAACTCACAGAGTTGTACTTTCCTTTTGATAGAGCAGCTTTGAAACCCTCTCTTTCTAGCATCTGCAAGGGGACATTTGGAGGGCTTCGAGGCCTGGGGTGGAAAAGGAAATATCTGCTCATTAAAGCTACATGGAAGCATTCTCAGAAACTGCTTTGTGATGATTGCATTCAAGTCACAGAGTTGAACATTCCCTTTGATAGAGCCGTTTGGAAACACACTTTTGGTAGAATCTGAAAGGGGAGATTTGGACCGCTTTGAGGCCTATGGCAGCAGAGGATATAACTGCCCATAAAAACTAGACAGTAGCATTCCCAGGAAAACACTTTGTGACGATTGAGTTCAACTCACAGAGCTGAACATTCCTTTGGATGGAGCAGTTTCAAAACACACTTTCTGTAGAATCTGCAAGTGGATATTTGGACCTCTCTGAGGATTTCGTTGGATACGGGAGAAAACTCACCTATCTAAACAGAAGCATTCTCAGAACCTTCTTCGTGATGCTTGCATTCAACTCACAGTGTTGAACCTTTCTCTGATAGTTCAGGTTTGAAACACTCCTTCTGCAGAATCTGCAAGTGGAGATTTGGACCTCTTTGAGGCCTATCGTCGTAAAGGAAATAACTTCATCCTAAAACAAGACAGAAGCATTCTCAGAAAATTCTTTGTGATGATTGAGTTTAACTCACAGAGCTGAGCATATCTTTTGATGGAGCACTTTCAAAACACACTTTTTGTAGAAGATGCAAGTGGATATTTGTACTTCTCTGAGAATTTCGTTGGAAACGGGATAAAACTCACATAACTGAAGAGAAACATTCCCAGAACTTCTTTGTGACGTTGGCATTCAACTGACAGAGTTGAACCTTCCCTTGTGAGTTCAGGTTGAAACGCTCTTTTCGTAGTATCTGCAAGTGGATATTTGGAACGCTTTGAGGCCTACGGTAGTAAAGGAAACAGCTTCATGTAAAAACTGGACAGAAGCATTCTCAGAAAATACTTTGTGATGATTGAGTTTAACTCACAGAGCTGAACATGCCTTTGGGTGGAGCAGTTTGGAAACACACTTTTTGCAGAATCTGCAGGTGGATATTTGGACCTCTCTGAGGATTTCGTTGGAAAAGGGATAACGTCACCTAACTAAACAGAAGCTTTCGCAGAAACATCTTTCTGACGTTTGCATTCAAAGTCCAGAGTTGAACCTTCCTTTGATAGTTCACGTTTGAAACACTCTTGTTGGAGGACCTGCAAGTGGATATTTGGAGCACTTTGTGGCCTTTGTTCGAAACGGGTATATCTTCACATAAAATCTAGACAGAAGCCTTCTCAGAAACTTCTCTGTGATGACTGCATTCAACTCACAGAGTTGAACATTCCTTTTGATAGAGCAGTTTTGAAACTCTCTTTTTCAAGCATCTGCAAATGGATAGGTGGAAGTCTGTGAAGATTTCTTTGGAAACGGGAATATCTTCACGTAAAAAGTAAACAGAAGCATTCTCAAAAACTCCTTTGTGAGGCTTGTGTTCAACTCCCAGAGGATAACATTGCTTTTCATAGAGCAGTTTTGAAACATTCTTTTCGTTGAGTCTCCAAGTGGACATTTGGAGCGCTTTCAGGCCTGTGGTGGAAAAGGAAATATCTTCACATAAAAACTAGAGAGAAGCATTGTCAGAAACTTCTTTGTGATGATTGCATTCAACTCACGGAGTTGAAGATTCCTTTTGATACAGCAGTTTGGAAACACTCTTTCGGTGGAATCTGCAAGCGGATATGTGGACCTCTTTGAACATTTCGATGGAAAAGGGATAATCTTCCCATGAAAGCTAAACGGAAGCATGCTCAGGAGCTTCTTTGTGATGTTTGCATTCAACTCACAGAGTTGTACTTTCCTTTTGATAGAGCAGCTTTGAAACCCTCTCTTTCTAGCATCTGCAAGGGGACATTTGGAGGGCTTCGAGGCCTGGGGTGGAAAAGGAAATATCTTCTCCTAAAAGCTACATGGAAGCATTCTCAGAAACTGCTTTGTGATGATTGCATTCAAGTCACAGAGTTGAACATTCCCTTTGATAGAGCCGTTTGGAAACACACTTTTGGTAGAATCTGAAAGGGGAGATTTGGACCGCTTTGAGGCCTATGGCAGCAGAGGATATAACTGCCCATAAAAACTAGACAGTAGCATTCCTAGGAAACACTTTGTGACGACTGAGTTCAACTCACAGAGCTGAACATTCCCTTTGGATGGAGCAGTTTCAAAACACACTTTCTGTAGAATCTGCAAGTGGATATTTGGACCTCTCTGAGGATTTCGTTGGATACGGGAGAAAACTCACCTATCTAAACAGAAGCATTCTCAGAACCTTCTTCGTGATGCTTGCATTCAACTCACAGTGTTGAACCTTTCTCTGATAGTTCAGGTTTGAAACACTCCTTCTGCAGAATCTGGAAGTGGAGATTTGGACCTCTTTGAGGCCTATCGTCGTAAAGGAAATAACTTCATCCTAAAACAAGACAGAAGCATTCTCAGAAAATTCTTTGTGATGATTGAGTTTAACTCACAGAGCTGAGCATATCTTTTGATGGAGCACTTTCAAAACACACTTTTTGTAGAATATGCAAGTGGATATTTGTACTTCTCTGAGAATTTCGTTGGAAACGGGATAAAACTCACATAACTGAAGAGAAACATTCCCAGAACTTCTTTGTGATGTTGGCATTCAACTGACAGAGTTGAACCTTCCCTTGTGAGTTCAGGTTGAAACGCCCTTTTCGTAGTATCTGCAAGTGGAGATTTGGAACGCTTTGAGGCCTACGGTAGTAAAGGAAACAGCTTCATGTAACAACTGGACAGAAGCATTCTCAGAAAATACTTTGTGATGATTGAGTTTAACTCACAGAGCTGAACATGCCTTTGGGTGGAGCAGTTTGGAAACACACTTTTTGCAGAATCTGCAGGTGGATATTTGGACCTCTCTGAGGATTTCGTTGGAAACGGGATAACGTCACCTAACTAAACAGAAGCTTTCGCAGAAACATCTTTCTGACGTTTGCATTCAAAGTCCAGAGTTGAACCTTCCTTTGATAGTTCACGTTTGAAACACTCTTGTTGGAGGACCTGCAAGTGGATATTTGGAGCACTTTGTGGCCTTCGTTCGAAACGGGTATATCTTCACATAAAATCTAGACAGAAGCCTTCTCAGAAACTTCTCTGTGATGACTGCATTCAACTCACAGAGTTGAACATTCCTTTTGATAGAGCAGTTTTGAAACTCTCTTTTTCTAGCATCTGCAAATGGATAGGTGGAAGTCTGTGAAGATTTCTTTGGAAACGGGAATATCTTCACGTAAAAAGTAAACAGAAGCATTCTCAGAAACTCCTTTGTGAGGCTTGTGTTCAACTCCCAGAGTATAACATTGCTTTTCATAGAGCAGTTTTGAAACATTCTTTTCGTAGAGTCTCCAAGTGGACATTTGGAGCGCTTTCAGGCCTGTGGTGGAAAAGGAAATATCTTCACATAAAAACTAGAGAGAAGCATTGTCAGAAACTTCTTTGTGATGATTGCATTCAACTCACGGAGTTGAAGATTCCTTTTGATACAGCAGTTTGGAAACACTCTTTCGGTGGAATCTGCAAGCGGATATGTGGACCTCTTTGAACATTTCGATGGAAAAGGGATAATCTTCCCATGAAAGCTAAACGGAAGCATGCTCAGGAGCTTCTTTGTGATGTTTGCATTCAACTCACAGAGTTGTACTTTCCTTTTGATAGAGCAGCTTTGAAACCCTCTCTTTCTAGCATCTGCAAGGGGACATTTGGAGGGCTTCGAGGCCTGGGGTGGAAAAGGAAATATCTTCTCCTAAAAGCTACATGGAAGCATTCTCAGAAACTGCTTTGTGATGATTGCATTCAAGTCACAGAGTTGAACATTCCCTTTGATAGAGCCGTTTGGAAACACACTTTTGGTAGAATCTGAAAGGGGAGATTTGGACCGCTTTGAGGCCTATGGCAGCAGAGGATGTAACTGCCCATAAAAACTAGACAGTAGCATTCCCAGGAAACACTTTGTGACGATTGAGTTCAACTCACAGAGCTGAACATTCCTTTGGATGGAGCAGTTTCAAAACACACTTTCGGTAGAATCTGCAAGTGGATATTTGGACCTCTCTGAGGATTTCGTTGGATAAGGGAGAAAACTCACCTATCTAAACAGAGGCATTCTCAGAACCTTCTTCGTGATGCTTGCATTCAACTCACAGTGTTGAACCTTTCTCTGATAGTTCAGGTTTGAAACACTCCTTCTGCAGAATCTGCAAGTGGAGATTTGGACCTCTTTGAGGCCTATCGTCGTAAAGGAAATAACTTCATCCTAAAACAAGACAGAAGCATTCTCAGAAAATTCTTTGTGATGATTGAGTTTAACTCACAGAGCTGAGCATATCTTTTGATGGAGCACTTTCAAAACACACTTTTTGTAGAATATGCAAGTGGATATTTGTACTTCTCTGAGAATTTCGTTGGAAACGGGATAAAACTCACATAACTGAAGAGAAACATTCCCAGAACTTCTTTGTGATGTTGGCATTCAACTCTCAGAGTTGAACCTTCCCTTGTGAGTTCAGGTTGAAACGCCCTTTTCGTAGTATCTGCAAGTGGAGATTTGGAACGCTTTGAGGCCTACGGTAGTAAAGGAAACAGCTTCATGTAAAAACTGGACAGAAGCATTCTCAGAAAATACTTTGTGATGATTGAGTTTAACTCACAGAGCTGAACATGCCTTTGGGTGGAGCAGTTTGGAAACACACTTTTTGCAGAATCTGCAGGTGGATATTTGGACCTCTCTGAGGATTTCGTTGGAAACGGGATAACGTCACCTAACTAAACAGAAGCTTTCGCAGAAACATCTTTCTGACGTTTGCATTCAAAGTCCAGAGTTGAACCTTCCTTTGATAATTCACGTTTGAAACACTCTTGTTGGAGGACCTGCAAGTGGATATTTGGAGCACTTTGTTGCCTTTGTTCGAAACGGGTATATCTTCACATAAAATCTAGCCAGAAGCCTTCTCAGAAACTTCTCTGTGATGACTGCATTCAACTCACAGAGTTGAACATTCCTTTTGATAGAGCAGTTTTGAAACTCTCTTTTTCTAGCATCTGCAAATGGATAGGTGGAAGTCTGTGAAGATTTCTTTGGAAACGGGAATATCTTCACGTAAAAAGTAAACAGAAGCATTCTCAGAAACTCCTTTGTGAGGCTTGTGTTCAACTCCCAGAGTATAACATTGCTTTTCATAGAGCAGTTTTGAAACATTCTTTTCGTAGAGTCTCCAAGTGGACATTTGGAGCGCTTTCAGGCCTGTGGTGGAAAAGGAAATATCTTCACATAAAAACTAGAGAGAAGCGTTGTCAGAAACTTCTTTGTGATGATTGCATTCAACTCACGGAGTTGAAGATTCCTTTCGATACAGTAGTTTGGAAACACTCTTTCGGTGGAATCTGCAAGCGGATATGTGGACCTCTTTGAACATTTCGATGGAAAAGGGATAATCTTCCCATAAAAGCTAAACGGAAGCATGCTCAGGAACTTCTTTGTGATGTTTGCATTCAACTCACAGAGTTGTACTTTCCTTTTGATAGAGCAGCTTTGAAACCCTCTCTTTCTAGCATCTGCAAGGGGACATTTGGAGGGCTTCGAGGCCTGGGGTGGAAAAGGAAATATCTGCTCATAAAAGCTACATGGAAGCATTCTCAGAAACTGCTTTGTGATGATTGCATTCAAGTCACAGAGTTGAACATTCCCTTTGATAGAGCCGTTTGGAAACACACTTTTGGTAGAATCTGAAAGGGGAGATTTGGACCGCTTTGAGGCCTATGGCAGCAGAGGATATAACTGCCCATAAAAACTAGACAGTAGCATTCCCAGGAAACACTTTGTGACGATTGAGTTCAACTCACAGAGCTGAACATTCCTTTGGATGGAGCAGTTTCAAAACACACTTTCTGTAGAATCTGCAAGTGGATATTTGGACCTCTCTGAGGATTTCGTTGGATACGGGAGAAAACTCACCTATCTAAACAGAAGCATTCTCAGAACCTTCTTCGTGATGCTTGCATTCAACTCACAGTGTTGAACCTTTGTCTGATAGTTCAGGTTTGAAACACTCCTTCTGC
Organism: Homo sapiens; assembly: GCF_000001405.40. Lineage (NCBI taxonomy): Eukaryota > Metazoa > Chordata > Mammalia > Primates > Hominidae > Homo > Homo sapiens. The sequence continues at coordinate 122,415,311 of NC_000001.11, forward strand.
AGAATCTGCAAGTGGAGATTTGGACCTCTTTGAGGCCTATCGTCGTAAAGGAAATAACTTCATCCTAAAACAAGACAGAAGCATTCTCAGAAAATTCTTTGTGATGATTGAGTTTAACACACAGAGCTGAGCATATCTTTTGATGGAGCATTTTGAAAACACACTTTTTGTAGAATATCCAAGTGGATATTTGGACTTCTCTGAGAATTTCGTGGGAAACGGGATAAACCTCACATAACTGAAGAGAAACAACATTCCCAGAACTTCTTTGTGATGTTGGCATTCAACTGACAGAGTTGAACCTTCCCTTGTGAGTTCAGGTTGAAACGCCCTTTTCGTAGTATCTGCAAGTGGAGATTTGGAACGCTTTGAGGCCTACGGTAGTAAAGGAAACAGCTTCATGTAAAAACTGGACAGAAGCATTCTCAGAAAATACTTTGTGATGATTGAGTTTAACTCACAGAGCTGAACATTCCTTTGGGTGGAGCAGTTTGGAAATACACTTTTTGCAGTATCTGCAGGTGGATATTTGGACCTCTCTGAGGATTTCTTTGGAAACGGGATAACGTCACCTAACTAAACAGAATCTTTCGCAGAAACATCTTTCTGACGTTTGCATTCAAAGTCCAGAGTTGAACCTTCCTTTGATAGTTCACGTTTGAAACACTCTTGTTGGAGGACCTGCAAGTGGATAATTGGAGCACTTTGTGGCCTTCGTTCGAAGCGGGTATATCTTCACATAAAATCTAGACAGAAGCCTTCTCAGAAACTTCTCTGTGATGACTGCATTCAACTCACAGAGTTGAACATTCCTTTTGATAGAGCAGTTTTGAAACTCTCTTTTTCTAGCATCTGCAAATGGATAGGTGGAAGTCTGTGAAGATTTCTTTGGAAACGGGAATATCTTCACGTAAAAAGTAAACAGAAGCATTCTCAGAAACTCCTTTGTGAGGCTTGTGTTCAACTCCCAGAGTATAACATTGCTTTTCATAGAGCAGTTTTGAAACATTCTTTTCGTAGAGTCTCCAAGTGGACATTTGGAGCGCTTTCAGGCCTGTGGTGGAAAAGGAAATATCTTCACATAAAAACTAGAGAGAAGCGTTGTCAGAAACTTCTTTGTGATGATTGCATTCAACTCACGGAGTTGAAGATTCCTTTTGATACAGCAGTTTGGAAACACTATTTCGGTGGAATCTGCAAGCGGATATGTGGACCTCTTTGAACATTTCGATGGAAAAGGGATAATCTTCCCATAAAAGATAAACGGAAGCATGCTCAGGAACTTCTTTGTGATGTTTGCATTCAACTCACAGAGTTGTACTTTCCTTTTGATAGAGCAGCTTTGAAACCCTCTCTTTCTAGCATCTGCAAGGGGACATTTGGAGGGCTTCGAGGCCTGGGGTGGAAAAGGAAATATCTGCTCATAAAAGCTACATGGAAGCATTCCCAGGAAACACTTTGTGACGATTGAGTTCAACTCACAGAGCTGAACATTCCTTTGGATGGAGCAGTTTCAAAACACACTTTCTGTAGAATCTGCAAGTGGATAGTTGGACCTCTCTGAGGATTTCGTTGGATACGGGAGAAAACTCACCTATCTAAACAGAAGCATTCTCAGAACCTTCTTCGTGATGCTTGCATTCAACTCACAGTGTTGAACCTTTCTCTGATAGTTCAGGTTTTAAACACTCCTTCTGCAGAATCTGCAAGTGGAGATTTGGACCTCTTTGAGGCCTATCGTAGTAAAGGAAAGAACTTCATCTAAAAACAAGACAGAAGCATTCTCAGAACCTTCTTCGTGATGCTTGCATTCAACTCACAGTGTTCAACCTTTCTCTGATAGTTCAGGTTTTAAACACTCCTTCTGCAGAATCTGCAAGTGGAGATTTGGACCTCTTTGAGGCCTATCGTAGTAAAGGATATAACCTCATCTAAAAACAAGACAGAAGCATTCTCAGAAAATTCTTTGTGATGATTGAGTTTAACACACAGAGCTGAGCATATCTTTTGATGGAGCATTTTCAAAACACACTTTTTGTAGAATATGCAAGTGGATATTTGGACTTCCCTGAGAATTTCGTGGGAAACGGGATAAACCTCACATAACTGAAGAGAAACATTCTCAGAACTTCTTTGTGATGTTGGCATTCAACTGATAGAGTTGAACCTTCCCTTGTGAGTTCAGGTTGAATCGCTCTTTTCGTAGTATCTGCAAGTGGAGATTTGGAACGCTTTGAGGCCTACGGTAGTAAAGGAAACAGCTTCATGTAAAAACTGGACAGAAGCATTCTCAGAAAATACTTTGTGATGATTGTGTTTAACTCACAGAGCTGAACATTCCTTTGGGTGGAGCAGTTTTGAAACACACTTTTTGTAGACTCTGCAGGTGGATATTTGGACCTCTCTGAGGATTTCGTTGGAAACGGGATAACGTCACCTAACTAAACAGAAGCTTTCGCAGAAACATCTTTCTGACGTTTGCATTCAAAGTCCAGAGTTGAACCTTCCTTTGATAGTTCACGTTTGAAACACTCTTTTTGGAGGACCTGCAAGTGGACATTTGGAGCACTTTGTGGCCTTCGTTCGAAACAGGTATATCTTCACATAAAATCTAGACAGAAGCCTTCTCAGAAACTTCTCTGTGATGATTGCATTCAACTCACAGATTTGAACATTTCTTTTGACAGAGCAGTTTTGAAACTCTCTTTTTCTAGCATCTGCAAATGGATACGTGGAACTCTGTGAAGATTTCTTTGGAAACGGGAATATCCTCACGTAAAATGTAAACAGAAGCATTCTCAGAAAGTCCTTTGTGAGGCTTGTGTTCAACTCCCAGAGTATAACATTGCTTTTCATAGAGCAGTTTTGAAACATTCTTTTCGTAGAGTCTCCAAGTGGACATTTGGAGCGCTTTCAGGCCTGTGGTGGAAAAGGAAATATCTTCACATAAAAACTAGAGAGAAGCGTTGTCAGAAACTTCTTTGTGATGATTGCATTCAACTCACGGAGTTGAAGATTCCTTTTGATACAGCAGTTTGGAAACACTCTTTCGGTGGAATCTGCAAGCGGATATGTGGACCTCTTTGAACATTTCGATGGAAAAGGGATAATCTTCCCATAAAAGCTAAACGGAAGCATGCTCAGGAGCTTCTTTGTGATGTTTGCATTCAACTCACAGAGTTGTACTTTCCTTTTGATAGAGCAGCTTTGAAACCCTCTCTTTCTAGCATCTGCAAGGGGACATTTGGAGGGCTTCGAGGCCTGGGGTGGAAAAGGAAATATCTTCTCCTAAAAGCTACATGGAAGCATTCTCAGAAACTGCTTTGTGATGATTGCATTCAAGTCACAGAGTTGAACATTCCCTTTGATAGAGCCGTTTGGAAACACACTTTTGGTAGAATCTGAAAGGGGAGATTTGGACCGCTTTGAGGCCTATGGCAGCAGAGGATGTAACTGCCCATAAAAACTAGACAGTAGCATTCCCAGGAAACACTTTGTGACGATTGAGTTCAACTCACAGAGCTGAACATTCCTTTGGATGGAGCAGTTTCAAAACACACTTTCTGTAGAATCTGCAAGTGGATATTTGGACCTCTCTGAGGATTTCGTTGGATACGGGAGAAAACTCACCTATCTAAACAGAAGCATTCTCAGAACCTTCTTCGTGATGCTTGCATTCAACTCTCAGTGTTGAACCTTTCTCTGATAGTTCAGGTTTGAAACACTCCTTCTGCAGAATCTGCAAGAGGAGATTTGGACCTCTTTGAGGCCTATCGTCGTAAAGGAAATAACTTCATCTTAAGACAAGACAGAAGCATTCTCAGAAAATTCTTTGTGATGATTGAGTTTAACTCACAGAGCTGAGCATATCTTTTGATGGAGCACTTTCAAAACACACTTTTTGTAGAATATGCAAGTGGATATTTGTACTTCTCTGAGAATTTCGTTGGAAACGGGATAAAACTCACATAACTGAAGAGAAACATTCCCAGAACTTCTTTGTGATGTTGGCATTCAACTCTCAGAGTTGAACCTTCCCTTGTGAGTTCAGGTTGAAACGCCCTTTTCGTAGTATCTGCAAGTGGAGATTTGGAACGCTTTGAGGCCTACGGTAGTAAAGGAAACAGCTTCATGTAAAAACTGGACAGAAGCATTCTCAGAAAATACTTTGTGATGATTGAGTTTAACTCACAGAGCTGAACATGCCTTTGGGTGGAGCAGTTTGGAAACACACTTTTTGCAGAATCTGCAGGTGGATATTTGGACCTCTCTGAGGATTTCGTTGGAAACGGGATAACGTCACCTAACTAAACAGAAGCTTTCGCAGAAACATCTTTCTGACGTTTGCATTCAAAGTCCAGAGTTGAACCTTCCTTTGATAGTTCTCGTTTGAAACACTCTTGTTGGAGGACATGCAAGTGCATATTTGGAGCACTTTGTGGCCTTCGTTCGAAACGGGTATATCTTCACATAAAATCTACACAGAAGCCTTCTCAGAAACTTCTCTGTGATGACTGCATTCAACTCACAGAGTTGAACATTCCTTTTGATAGAGCAGTTTTGAAACTCTCTTTTTCAAGCATCTGCAAATGGATAGGTGGAAGTCTGTGAAGATTTCTTTGGAAACGGGAATATCTTCACGTAAAAAGTAAACAGAAGCATTCTCAGAAACTCCTTTGTGAGGCTTGTGTTCAACTCCCAGAGTATAACATTGCTTTTCATAGAGCAGTTTTGAAACATTCTTTTCGTAGAGTCTCCAAGTGGACATTTGGAGCGCTTTCAGGCCTGTGGTGGAAAAGGAAATATCTTCACATAAAAACTAGAGAGAAGCGTTGTCAGAAACTTCTTTGTGATGATTGCATTCAACTCACGGAGTTGAAGATTCCTTTCGATACAGCAGTTTGGAAACACTCTTTCGGTGGAATCTGCAAGCGGATATGTGGACCTCTTTGAACATTTCGATGGAAAAGGGATAATCTTCCCATAAAAGCTAAACGGAAGCATGCTCAGGAACTTCTTTGTGATGTTTGCATTCAACTCACAGAGTTGTACTTTCCTTTTGATAGAGCAGCTTTGAAACCCTCTCTTTCTAGCATCTGCAAGGGGACATTTGGAGGGCTTCGAGGCCTGGGGTGGAAAAGGAAATATCTGCTCATAAAAGCTACATGGAAGCATTCTCAGAAACTGCTTTGTGATGATTGCATTCAAGTCACAGAGTTGAACATTCCCTTTGATAGAGCCGTTTGGAAACACACTTTTGGTAGAATCTGAAAGGGGAGATTTGGACCGCTTTGAGGCCTATGGCAGCAGAGGATATAACTGCCCATAAAAACTAGACAGTAGCATTCCCAGGAAACACTTTGTTACGATTGAGTTCAACTCACACAGCTGACCATTCCTTTAGATGGAGCAGTTTCAAAACACACTTTCTGTAGAATCTGCAAGTGGATATTTGGACCTCTCTGAGGATTTCGTTGGATACGAGAGAAAACTCACCTATCTAAACAGAAGCATTCTCAGAACCTTCTTCGTGATGCTTGCATTCAACTCACAGTGTTGAACCTTTCTCTGATAGTTCAGGTTTGAAACACTCCTTCTGCAGAATCTGCAAGTGGAGATTTGGACCTCTTTGAGGCCTATCGTCGTAAAGGAAATAACTTCATCCTAAAACAAGACAGAAACATTCTCAGAAAATTCTTTGTGATGATTGAGTTTAACTCACAGAGCTGAGCATATCTTTTGATGGAGCACATTCAAAACACACTTTTTGTAGAATATGCAAGTGGATATTTGTACTTCTCTGAGAATTTCGTTGGAAACGGGATAAAACTCACATAACTGAAGAGAAACATTCCCAGCAACTTCTTTGTGATGTTGGCATTCAACTGACAGAGTTGAACCTTCCCTTGAGAGTTCAGGTTGAAACGCCCTTTTCGTAGTATCTGCAAGTGGAGATTTGGAACGCTTTGAGGCCTACGGTAGTAAAGGAAACAGCTTCATGTAAAAACTGGACAGAAGCATTCTCAGAAAATACTTTGTGATGATTGAGTTTAACTCACAGAGCTGAACATGCCTTTGGGTGGAGCAGTTTGGAAACACACTTTTTGCAGAATCTGCAGGTGGATATTTGGACCTCTCTGAGGATTTCGTTGGAAACGGGATAACGTCACCTAACTAAACAGAAGCTTTCGCAGAAACATCTTTCTGACGTTTGCATTCAAAGTCCAGAGTTGAACCTTCCTTTGATAGTTCACGTTTGAAACACTCTTGTTGGAGGACCTGCAAGTGGATATTTGGAGCACTTTGTGGCCTTCGTTCGAAACGGGTATATCTTCACATAAAATCTAGACAGAAGCCTTCTCAGAAACTTCTCTGTGATGACTGCATTCAACTCACAGAGTTGAACATTCCTTTTGATAGAGCAGTTTTGAAACTCTCTTTTTCAAGCATCTGCAAATGGATAGGTGGAAGTCTGTGAAGATTTCTTTGGAAACGGGAATATCTTCACGTAAAAAGTAAACAGAAGCATTCTCAGAAACTCCTTTGTGAGGCTTGTGTTCAACTCCCAGAGTATAACATTGCTTTTCATAGAGCAGTTTTGAAACATTCTTTTCGTAGAGTCTCCAAGTGGACATTTGGAGCGCTTTCAGGCCTGTGGTGGAAAAGGAAATATCTTCATATAAAAACTAGAGAGAAGCATTGTCAGAAACTTCTTTGTGATGATTGCATTCAACTCACGGAGTTGAAGATTCCTTTTGATACAGCAGTTTGGAAACACTCTTTCGGTGGAATCTGCAAGCGGATATGTGGAACCCTTTGAACATTTCGATGGAAAAGGGATAATCTTCCCATAAAAGCTAAACGGAAGCATGCTCTGGAACTTCTTTGTGATGTTTGCATTCAACTCACAGAGTTGTACTTTCCTTTTGATAGAGCAGCTTTGAAACCCTCTCTTTCTAGCATCTGCAAGGGGACATTTGGAGGGCTTCGAGGTCTGGGGTGGAAAAGGAAATATCTGCTCATAAAAGCTACATGGAAGCATTCTCAGAAACTGCTTTGTGATGATTGCATTCAAGTCACAGAGTTGAACATTCCCTTTGATAGAGCCGTTTGGAAACACACTTTTGGTAGAATCTGAAAGGGGAGATTTGGACCGCTTTGAGGCCTATGGCAGCAGAGGATATAACTGCCCATAAAAACTAGACAGTAGCATTCCCAGGAAACACTTTGTGACGATTGAGTTCAACTCACAGAGCTGAACATTCCTTTGGATGGAGCAGTTTCAAAACACACTTTCTGTAGAATCTGCAAGTGGATATTTGGACCTCTCTGAGGATTTCGTTGGATACGGGAGAAAACTCACCTATCTAAACAGAAGCATTCTCAGAACCCTCTTCGTGATGCTTGCATTCAACTCACAGTGTTGAACCTTTCTCTGAGAGTTCAGGTTTGAAACACTCCTTCTGCAGAATCTGCAAGTGGAGATTTGGAACTCTTTGAGGCCTATCGTCGTAAAGGAAATAACTTCATCCTAAAACAAGACGGAAGCATTCTCAGAAAATTCTTTGTGATGATTGAGTTTAACTCACAGAGCTGAGCATATCTTTTGATGGAGCACTTTCAAAACACACTTTGTGTAGAATATGCAAGTGGATATTTGTACTTCTCTGAGAATTTCGTTGGAAACGGGATAAAACTCACATAACTGAAGAGAAACATTCTCAGAACTTCTTTGTGATGTTGGCATTCAACTGACAGAGTTGAACCTTCCCTTGTGAGTTCAGGTTGAATCGCTCTTTTCGTAGTATCTGCAAGTGGAGATTTGGAACGCTTTGAGGCCTACGGTAGTAAAGGAAACAGCTTCATGTAAAAACTGGACAGAAGCATTCTCAGAAAATACTTTGGGATGATTGAGTTTAACTCACAGAGCTGAACATTCCTTTTGGTGGAGCAGTTTTGAAACACACTTTTTGTAGACTCTGCAGGTGGATATTTGGACCTCTCTGAGGATTTCGTTGGAAACGGGATAACGTCACCTAACTAAACAGACTTTCGCAGAAACATCTTTCTGACGTTTGCATTCAAAGTCCAGAGTTGAACCTTCCTTTGATAGTTCACGTTTGAAACACTCTTGTTGGAGGACCTGCAAGTGGATATTTGGAGCACTTTGTGGCCTTCGTTCGAAACGGGTATATCTTCACATAAAATCTAGACAGAAGCCTTCTCAGAAACTTCTCTGTGATGACTGCATTCAACTCACAGAGTTGAACATTCCTTTTGATAGAGCAGTTTTGAAACTCTCTTTTTCTAGCATCTGCAAATGGATAGGTGGAACTCTGTGAAGATTTCTTTGGAAACGGGAATATCTTCACGTAAAAAGTAAACAGAAGCATTCTCAGAAACTCCTTTGTGAGGCTTGTGTTCAACTCCCAGAGTATAACATTGCTTTTCATAGAGCAGTTTTGAAACATTCTTTTCGTAGAGTCTCCAAGTGGACATTTGGAGAGCTTCAGGCCTGTGGTGGAAAAGGAAATATCTTCACATAAAAACTAGAGAGAGAAGCATTGTAAGAAACTTCTTTGTGATGATTGCATTCAACTCACGGAGTTGAAGATTCCTTTTGATACAGCAGTTTGGAAACACTCTTTCGGTGGAATCCGCAAGCGGATATGTGGACCTCTTTGAACATTTCGATGGAAAAGGGATAATCTTCCCATAAAAGCTAAACGGAAGCATGCTCAGGAACTTCTTTGTGATGTTTGCATTCAACTCACAGAGTTGTACTTTCCTTTTGATAGAGCAGCTTTGAAACCCTCTCTTTCTAGCATCTGCAAGGGGACATTTGGAGGGCTTCGAGGCCTGGGGTGGAAAAGGAAATATCTTCTCCTAAAAGCTACATGGAAGCATTCTCAGAAACTGCTTTGTGATGATTGCATTCAAGTCACAGAGTTTAACATTCCCTTTGATAGAGCCGTTTGGAAACACACTTTTGGTAGAATCTGAAAGGGGAGATTTGGACCGCTTTGAGGCCTATGGCAGCAGAGGATATAACTGCCCATAAAAACTAGACAGTAGCATTCCCAGGAAACACTTTGTGACGATTGAGTTCAACTCACAGAGCTGAACATTCCTTTGGATGGAGCAGTTTCAAAACACACTTTCTGTAGAATCTGCAAGTGGATATTTGGACCTCTCTGAGGATTTCGTTGGATACGGGAGAAAACTCACCTATCTAAACAGAAGCATTCTCAGAACCTTCTTCGTGATGCTTGCTTTCAACTCACAGTGTTGAACCTTTCTCTGATAGTTCAGGTTTGAAACACTCCTTCTGCAGAATCTGCAAGTGGAGATTTGGACCTCTTTGAGGCCTATCGTCGTAAAGGAAATAACTTCATCCTAAAACAAGACAGAAGCATTCTCAGAAAATTATTTGTGATGATTGAGTTTAACTCACAGAGCTGAGCATATCTTTTGATGGAGCACTTTCAAAACACACTTTTTGTAGAATCTGCAAGTGGATATTTGTACTTCTCTGAGAATTTCGTTGGAAACGGGATAAAACTCACATAACTGAAGAGAAACATTCCCAGAACTTCTTTGTGATGTTGGCATTCAACTGACAGAGTTGAACCTTCCCTTGTGAGTTCAGGTTGAAACGCTCTTTTCGTAGTATCTGCAAGTGGAGATTTGGAATGCTTTGAGGCCTACGGTAGTAAAGGAAACAGCTTCATGTAAAAACTGGACAGAAGCATTCTCAGAAAATACTTTGTGATGATTGAGTTTAACTCACAGAGCTGAACATGCCTTTGGGTGGAGCAGTTTGGAAACACACTTTTTGCAGAATCTGCAGGTGGATATTTGGACCTCTCTGAGGATTTCGTTGGAAACGGGATAACGTCACCTAACTAAACAGAAGCTTTCGCAGAAACATCTTTCTGACGTTTGCATTCAAAGTCCAGAGTTGAACCTTCCTTTGATAGTTCACGTTTGAAACACTCTTGTTGGAGGACCTGCAAGTGGATATTTGGAGCACTTTGTGGCCTTCGTTCGAAACGGGTATATCTTCACATAAAATCTAGACAGAAGCCTTCTCAGAAACTTCTCTGTGATGACTGCATTCAACTCACAGAGTTGAACATTCCTTTTGATAGAGCAGTTTTGAAACTCTCTTTTTCTAGCATCTGCAAATGGATAGGTGGAAGCCTGTGAAGATTTCTTTGGAAACGGGAATATCTTCACGTAAAAAGTAAACAGAAGCATTCTCAGAAACTTCTTTGTGAGGCTTGTGGTCAACTCCCAGAGTTTAACATTGCTTTTCATAGAGCAGTTTTGAAGCATTCTTTTCGTAGAGTCTGCAAGTGGACATTTACAGCGCTTTCAGGCCTGTGGTGGAAAAGGAAATATCTTCACATAAAAACTAGGGAGAAGCATTGTCAGAAACTTCTTTGTGATGATTGCATTGAACTCACGGAGTTGAAGATTCCTTTTGATACAGCAGTTTGGAATCACTCTTTCGGTGGAATCTGCAAGCGGATATTTGGACCTCTTTGAAGATTTCGATGGAAAAGGGATAATCTTCCCATAAAAGCTACACTGAAGCATGCTCAGGAGCTTCTTTGTGATGTTTGCATTCAACTCACAGAGTTGTACTTTCCTTTTGATAGAGCAGCTTTGAAACCCTCTCTTTCTAGCATCTGCAAGGGGACATTTGGAGGGCTTCGAGGCCTGGGGTGGAAAAGGAAATATCTGCTCATTAAAGCTACATGGAAGCATTCTCAGAAACTGCTTTGTGATGATTGCATTCAAGTCACAGAGTTGAACATTCCCTTTGATAGAGCCGTTTGGAAACACACTTTTGGTAGAATCTGAAAGGGGAGATTTGGACCGCTTTGAGGCCTATGGCAGCAGAGGATATAACTGCCCATAAAAACTAGACAGTAGCATTCGCAGGAAACACTTTGTGACGATTGAGTTCAACTCACAGAGCTGAACATTCCTTTGGATGGAGCAGTTTCAAAACACACTTTCTGTAGAATCTGCAAGTGGATATTTGGACCTTTCTGAGGATTTCTTTGGATACGGGAGAAAACTCACCTATCTAAACAGAAGCATTCTCAGAACCTTCTTCGTGATGCTTGCATTCAACTCACAGTGTTGAACCTTTCTCTGATAGTTCAGGTTTGAAACACTCCTTCTGCAGAATCTGCAAGTGGAGATTTGGACCTCTTTGAGGCCTATCGTCGTAAAGGAAATAACTTCATCCTAAAACAAGACAGAAGCATTCTCAGAAAATTCTTTGTGATGATTGAGTTTAACTCACAGAGCTGAGCATATCTTTTGATGGAGCACTTTCAAAACACACTTTTTGTAGAATATGCAAGTGGATATTTGTACTTCTCTGAGAATTTCGTTGGAAACGGGATAAAACTCACATAACTGAAGAGAAACATTCCCAGAACTTCTTTGTGATGTTGGCATTCAACTCTCAGAGTTGAACCTTCCCTTGTGAGTTCAGGTTGAAACGCCCTTTTCGTAGTATCTGCAAGTGGAGATTTGGAACGCTTTGAGGCCTACGGTAGTAAAGGAAACAGCTTCATGTAAAAACTGGACAGAAGCATTCTCAGAAAATACTTTGTGATGATTGAGTTTAACTCACAGAGCTGAACATGCCTTTGGGTGGAGCAGTTTGGAAACACACTTTTTGCAGAATCTGCAGGTGGATATTTGGACCTCTCTGAGGATTTCGTTGGAAACGGGATAACGTCACCTAACTAAACAGAAGCTTTCGCAGAAACATCTTTCTGACGTTTGCATTCAAAGTCCAGAGTTGAACCTTCCTTTGATAGTTCACGTTTGAAACACTCTTGTTGGAGGACCTGCAAGTGGATATTTGGAGCACTTTCTGGCCTTCGTTCGAAACGGGTATATCTTCACAAAAAATCTAGACAGAAGCCTTCTCAGAAACTTCACTGTGATGATTGCTTTCAACTCACAGAGTTGAACATTCCTTTTGATAGAGCAGTTTTGAAAGTCTCTTTTTCTAGCATCTGCAAATGGATAGGTGGAACTCTGTGAAGATTTCTTTGGAAACGGGAATATCTTCACGTAAAAAGTAAACAGAAGCATTCTCAGAAACTCCTTTGTGAGGCTTGTGTTCAACTCCCAGAGTATAACATTGCTTTTCATAGAGCAGTTTTGAAACATTCTTTTCGTAGAGTCTCCAAGTGGACATTTGGAGCGCTTTCAGGCCTGTGGTGGAAAAGGAAATATCTTCATATAAAAACTAGAGAGAAGCGTTGTCAGAAACTTCTTTGTGATGATTGCATTCAACTCACGGAGTTGAAGATTCCTTTTGATACAGCAGTTTGGAAACACTCTTTCGGTGGAATCCGCAAGCGGATATGTGGACCTCTTTGAACATTTCGATGGAAAAGGGATAATCTTCCCATAAAAGCTAAACGGAAGCATGCTCAGGAGCTTCTTTGTGATGTTTGCATTCAACTCACAGAGTTGTACTTTCCTTTTGATAGAGCAGCTTTGAAACCCTCTCTTTCTAGCATCTGCAAGGGGACATTTGGAGGGCTTCGAGGCCTGGGGTGGAAAAGGAAATATCTTCTCCTAAAAGCTACATGGAAGCATTCTCAGAAACTGCTTTGTGATGATTGCATTCAAGTCACAGAGTTGAACATTCCCTTTGATAGAGCCGTTTGGAAACACACTTTTGGTAGAATCTGAAAGGGGAGATTTGGACCGCTTTGAGGCCTATGGCAGCAGAGGATATAACTGCCCATAAAAACTAGACAGTAGCATTCTCAGGAAACACTGTGTGACGATTGAGTTCAACTCACAGAGCTGAACATTCCTTTGGATGGAGCAGTTTCGAAACACACTTTTTGTAGGATCTGCAAGTGGATATTTGTACTTCTCTGAGGATTTCGTTGGAAACGGGATAAACCACACCTAACTGAGCGGAAGCCTTGTCAGGAACTGCTTCGTGATGTTGGCATTCAACTCACAGAGTTGAACCGTCCCTTGTGAGTTCAGGTTGAAACACTCTTTTCGTAGTATCTGCAAGTGGAGATTTGGAACGCTTTGTGGCCTACGGTAGTAAAGGAAATAGCTTCGAGTAAAAACTGGACAGAAGCATTCTCAGAAAATACTTTGTGATGATTGAGTTTAACTCACAGAGCTGAACATGCCTTTGGGTGGAGCAGTTTGGAAACACACTTTTTGCAGAATCTGCAGGTGGATATTTGGACCTCTCTGAGGATTTCGTTGGAAACGGGATAACGTCACCTAACTAAACAGAAGCTTTCGCAGAAACATCTTTCTGACGTTTGCATTCAAAGTCCAGAGTTGAACCTTCCTTTGATAGTTCTCGTTTGAAACACTCTTGTTGGAGGACATGCAAGTGCATATTTGGAGCACTTTGTGGCCTTCGTTCGAAACGGGTATATCTTCACATAAAATCTACACAGAAGCCTTCTCAGAAACTTCTCTGTGATGACTGCATTCAACTCACAGAGTTGAACATTCCTTTTGATAGAGCAGTTTTGAAACTCTCTTTTTCTAGCATCTGCAAATGGATAGGTGGAAGCCTGTGAAGATTTCTTTGGAAACGGGAATATCTTCACGTAAAAAGTAAACAGAAGCATTCTCAGAAACTCCTTTGTGAGGCTTGTGTTCAACTCCCAGAGTATAACATTGCTTTTCATAGAGCAGTTTTGAAACATTCTTTTCGTAGAGTCTCCAAGTGGACATTTGGAGCGCTTTCAGGCCTGTGGTGGAAAAGGAAATATCTTCACATAAAAACTAGAGAGAAGCATTGTCAGAAACTTCTTTGTGATGATTGCATTCAACTCACGGAGTTGAAGATTCCTTTTGATACAGCAGTTTGGAAACACTCTTTCGGTGGAATCTGCAAGCGGATATGTGGACCTCTTTGAACATTTCGATGGAAAAGGGATAATCTTCCCATGAAAGCTAAACGGAAGCATGCTCAGGAACTTCCTTGTGATGTTTGCATTCAACTCACAGAGTTGTACTTTCCTTCTGATAGAGCAGCTTTGAAACCCCCTCTTTCTAGCATCTGCAAGGGGACATTTGGAGGGCTTCGAGGCCTGGGGTGGAAAAGGAAATATCTTCTCATCAAAGCTACATGGAAGCATTCTCAGAAACTGCTTTGTGATGATTGCATTCAAGTCACAGAGTTGAACATTCCCTTTGATAGAGCCGTTTGGAAACACACTTTTGGTAGAATCTGAAAGGGGAGATTTGGACCGCTTTGAGGCCTATGGCAGCAGAGGATATAACTGCCCATAAAAACTAGACAGTAGCATTCCCAGGAAACACTTTGTGACGATTGAGTTCAACTCACAGAGCTGAACATTCCTTTGGATGGAGCAGTTTCAAAACACACTTTCTGTAGAATCTGCAAGTGGATATTTGGACCTCTCTGAGGATTTCGTTGGATACGGGAGAAAACTCACCTATCTAAACAGAAGCATTCTCAGAACCTTCTTCGTGATGCTTGTATTCAACTCACAGTGTTGAACCATTCTCTGATAGTTCAGGTTAGAAACATTCCTTCTGCACAATCTGCAATTGGAGATTTGAACCTCTTTGAGGCCTATCGTCGTAAAGGAAGTAACTTCATCCTAAAACAAGACAGAAGCATTCTCAGAAAATTCTTTGTGATGATTGAGTTTAACTCACAGAGCTGAGCATCTCTTTTGATGGAGCATTTTCAAAACACACTTTTTGTAAAATATGCTAGCGGATATTTGTACTTCTCTGAGAATTTCGTTGGAAACGGGATAAAACTCACATAACTGAAGAGTAACATTCCCAGAACTTTTTGTGATGTTGGCATTCAACTGACAGAGTTGAACCTTCCCTTGTGAGTTCAGGTTGAAACGCCGTTTTCGTAGTATCTGCAAGTGGAGATTTGGAACGCTTTGAGGCCTACGGTAGTAAAGGAAACAGCTTCATGTAAAAACTGGACAGAAGCATTCTCAGAAAATACTTTGTGATGATTGAGTTTAACTCACAGAGCTGAACATTCCTTTGGGTGGAGCAGTTTGGAAACACACTTTTTGCAGAATCTGCAGGTGGATATTTCACCTCTCTGAGGATTTCGTTGGAAACGGGATAATGTCACCTAACTAAACAGAAGCTTTCGCAGAAACATCTTTCTGACGTTTGCATTCAAAGTCCAGAGTTGAACCTTCCTTTGATAGTTCGCGTTTGAAACACTCTTGTTGGAGGACCTGCAAGTGGATATTTGGAGCACTTTGTGGCCTTCGTTCGAAACGGGTATATCTTCACATAAAATCTAGACAGAAGCCTTCTCAGAAACTTCTCTGTGATGATTGCATTCAACTCACAGAGTTGAACATTCCTTTTGACAGAGCAGTTTTGAAACTCTCTTTTTCAAGCATCTGCAAATGGATAGGTGGAACTCTGTGAAGATTTCTTAGGAAACGGGAATATCTTCACGTAAAAAGTAAACAGAAGCATTCTCAGAAACTCCTTTGTGAGGCTTGTGTTCAACTCCCAGAGTATAACATTGCTTTTCATAGAGCAGTTTTGAAACATTCTTTTCGTAGAGTCTCCAAGTGGACATTTGGAGCGCTTTCAGGCCTGTGGTGGAAAAGGAAATATCTTCACATAAAAACTAGAGAGAAGCATTGTCAGAAACTTCTTTGTGATGATTGCATTCAACTCACGAAGTTGAAGATTCCTTTTGATACAGCAGTTTGGAAACACTCTTTCGGTGGAATCTGCAAGCGGATATGTGGACCTCTTTGAACATTTCGATGGAAAAGGGATAATCTTCCCATGAAAGCTAAACGGAAGCATGCTCAGGAGCTTCTTTGTGATGTTTGCATTCAACTCACAGAGTTGTACTTTCCTTTTGATAGAGCAGCTTTGAAACCCTCTCTTTCTAGCATCTGCAAGGGGACATTTGGAGGGCTTCGAGGCCTGGGGTGGAAAAGGAAATATCTGCTCCTAAAAGCTACATGGAAGCATTCTCAGAAACTGCTTTGTGATGATTGCATTCAAGTCACAGAGTTGAACATTCCCTTTGATAGAGCCGTTTGGAAACACACTTTTGGTGGAATCTGAAAGGGGAGATTTGGACCGCTTTGAGGCCTATGGCAGCAGAGGATATAACTGCACATAAAAACTAGACAGTAGCATTCCCAGGAAACACTTTGTGACGATTGAGTTCAACTCACAGAGCTGAACATTCCTTTGGATGGAGCAGTTTCAAAACACACTTTCTGTAGAATCTGCAAGTGGATATTTGGACCTCTCTGAGGATTTCGTTGGATATGGGAGAAAACTCACTTATCTAAACAGAAGCATTCTCAGAACCTTCTTCGTGATGCTTGCATTCAACTCTCAGTGTTGAACCTTTCTCTGATAGTTCAGGTTTGAAACACTCCTTCTGCAGAATCTGCAAGTGGAGATTTGGACCTCTTTGAGGCCTATCGTCGTAAAGGAAATAACTTCATCCTAAGACAAGACAGAAGCATTCTCAGAAAATTCTTTGTGATGATTGAGTTTAACTCACAGAGCTGAGCATATCTTTTGATGGAGCATTTTCAAAACACACTTTTTGTAGAATATGCAAGTGGATATTTGTACTTCTCTGAGAATTTCGTTGGAAACGGGATAAAACTCACATAACTGAAGAGAAACATTCCCAGAACTTCTTTGTGGTGTTGGCATTCAACTGACAGAGTTGAACCTTCCCTTGTGAGTTCAGGTTGAAACGCTCTTTTCGTAGTATCTGCAAGTGGAGATTTGGAACGCTTTGAGGCCTACGGTAGTAAAGGAAACAGCTTCATGTAAAAACTGGACAGAAGCATTCTCAGAAAATACTTTGTGATGATTGAGTTTAACTCACAGAGCTGAACATGCCTTTGGGTGGAGCAGTTTGGAAACACACTTTTTGCAGAATCTGCAGGTGGATATTTGGACCTCTCTGAGGATTTCGTTGGAAACGGGATAACGTCACCTAACTAAACAGAAGCTTTCGCAGAAACATCTTTCTGACGTTTGCATTCAAAGTCCAGAGTTGAACCTTCCTTTGATAGTTCACGTTTGAAACACTCTTGTTGGAGGACCTGCAAGTGGATATTTGGAGCACTTTGTGGCCTTCGTTCGAAACGGGTATATCTTCACATAAAATCTAGACAGAAGCCTTCTCAGAAACTTCTCTGTGATGACTGCATTCAACTCACAGAGTTGAACATTCCTTTTGATAGAGCAGTTTTGAAACTCTCTTTTTCTAGCATCTGCAAATGGATAGGTGGAAGTCTGTGAAGATTTCTTTGGAAACGGGAATATCTTCACGTAAAAAGTAAACAGAAGCATTCTCAGAAACTCCTTTGTGAGGCTTGTGTTCAACTTCCCAGAGTATAACATTGCTTTTCATAGAGCAGTTTTGAAACATTCTTTTCGTAGAGTCTCCAAGTGGACATTTGGAGCGCTTTCAGGCCTGTGGTGGAAAAGGAAATATCTTCACATAAAAACTAGAGAGAAGCATTGTCAGAAACTTCTTTGTGATGATTGCATTCAACTCACGGAGTTGAAGATTCCTTTCGATACAGCAATTTGGAAACACTCTTTCGGTGGAATCTGCAAGCGGATATGTGGACCTCTTTGAATATTTCGATGGAAAAGGGATAATCTTCCCATAAAAGCTAAACGGAAGCATGCTCAGGAACTTCTTTGTGATGTTTGCATTCAACTCACAGAGTTGTACTTTCCTTTTGATAGAGCAGCTTTGAAACCCTCTCTTTCTAGCATCTGCCAGGGGACATTTGGAGGGCTTCGAGGCCTGGGGTGGAAAAGGAAATATCTTCTCATAAAAGCTACATGGAAGCATTCTCAGAAACTGCTTTGTGATGATTGCATTCAAGTCACAGAGTTGAACATTCCCTTTGATAGAGCCGTTTGGAAACACACTTTTGGTAGAATCTGAAAGGGGAGATTTGGACCGCTTTGAGGCCTATGGCAGCAGAGGATATAACTGCCCATAAAAACTAGACAGTAGCATTCCCAG
Organism: Homo sapiens; assembly: GCF_000001405.40. Lineage (NCBI taxonomy): Eukaryota > Metazoa > Chordata > Mammalia > Primates > Hominidae > Homo > Homo sapiens. Next base: position 122,433,387 of record NC_000001.11, read on the forward strand.
GAAACACTTTGTGACAATTGAGTTCAACTCACAGAGCTGAACATTCCTTTGGATGGAGCAGTTTCAAAACACACTTTCTGTAGAATCTGCAAGTGGATATTTGGACCTCTCTGAGGATATCGTTGGATACGGGAGAAAACTCACCTATCTAAACAGAGGCATTCTCAGAACCTTCTTCGTAATGCTTGCATTCAACTCACAGTGTTGAACCTTTCTCTGATAGTTCAGGTTTGAAACACTCCTTCTGCAGAATCTGCAAGTGGAGATTTGGACCTCTTTGAGGCCTATCGTCGTAAAGGAAATAACTTCATCCTAAAACAAGACAGAAGCGTTCTCAGAAAATTCTTTGTGATGATTGAGTTTAACTCACAGAGCTGAGCATATCTTTTGATGGAGCACTTTCAAAACACACTTTTTGTAGAAGATGCAAGTGGATACTTGTACTTCTCTGAGAATTTCGTTGGAAACGGGATAAAACTCACATAACTGAAGAGAAACATTCCCAGAACTTCTTTGTGATGTTGGCATTCAACTGACAGAGTTGAACCTTCCCTCGTGAGTTCAGGTTGAAACGCTCTTTTCGTAGTATCTGCAAGTGGAGATTTGGAACGCTTTGAGGCCTACGGTAGTAAAGGAAACAGCTTCATGTAAAAACTGGACAGAAGCATTCTCAGAAAATACTTTGTGATGATTGAGTTTAACTCACAGAGCTGAACATGCCTTTGGGTGGAGCAGTTTGGAAACACACTTTTTGCAGAATCTGCAGGTGGATATTTGGACCTCTCTGAGGATTTCGTTGGAAACGGGATAACGTCACCTAACTAAACAGAAGCTTTCGCAGAAACATCTTTCTGACGTTTGCATTCAAAGTCCAGAGTTGAACCTTCCTTTGATAGTTCACGTTTGAAACACTCTTGTTGGAGGACCTGCAAGTGGATATTTGGAGCACTTTGTGGCCTTCGTTCGAAACGGGTATATCTTCACATAAAATCTAGACAGAAGCCTTCTCAGAAACTTCTCTGTGATGACTGCATTCAACTCACAGAGTTGAACATTCCTTTTGATAGAGCAGTTTTGAAACTCTCTTTTTCAAGCATCTGCAAATGGATAGGTGGAAGTCTGTGAAGATTTCTTTGGAAACGGGAATATCTTCACGTAAAAAGTAAACAGAAGCATTCTCAGAAACTCCTTTGTGAGGCTTGTGTTCAACTCCCAGAGTATAACATTGCTTTTCATAGAGCAGTTTTGAAACATTCTTTTCGTAGAGTCTCCAAGTGGACATTTGGAGCGCTTTCAGGCCTGTGGTGGAAAAGGAAATATCTTCACATAAAAACTAGAGAGAAGCATTGTCAGAAACTTCTTTGTGATGATTGCATTCAACTCACGGAGTTGAAGATTCCTTTTGATACAGCAGTTTGGAAACACTCTTTCGGTGGAATCTGCAAGCGGATATGTGGACCTCTTTGAACATTTCGATGGAAAAGGGATAATCTTCCCATGAAAGCTAAACGGAAGCATGCTCAGGAACTTCTTTGTGATGTTTGCATTCAACTCACAGAGTTGTACTTTCCTTTTGATAGAGCAGCTTTGAAACCCTCTCTTTCTAGCATCTGCAAGGGGACATTTGGAGGGCTTCGAGGCCTGGGGTGGAAAAGGAAATATCTGCTCATAAAAGCTACATGGAAGCATTCTCAGAAACTGCTTTGTGATGATTGCATGCAAGTCACAGAGTTGAACATTCCCTTTGATAGAGCCGTTTGGAAACACACTTTTGGTAGAATCTGAAAGGGGAGATTTGGACCGCTTTGAGGCCTATGGCAGCAGAGGATATAACTGCCCATAAAAACTAGACAGTAGCATTCCCAGGAAACACTTTGTGACGATTGAGTTCAACTCACAGAGCTGAACATTCCTTTGGATGGAGCAGTTTCAAAACACACTTTCTGTAGAATCTGCAAGTGGATATTTGGACCTCTCTGAGGATTTCATTGGATACGGGAGAAAACTCACCTATCTAAACAGAAGCATTCTCAGAACCTTCTTCGTGATGCTTGCATTCAACTCACAGTGTTGAACCTTTCTCTGATAGTTCAGGTTTGAAACACTCCTTCTGCAGAATCTGCAAGTGGAGATTTGGACCTCTTTGAGGCCTATCGTCGTAAAGGAAATAACTTCATCCTAAAACAAGACAGAAGCATTCTCAGAAAATTCTTTGTGATGATTGAGTTTAACTCACAGAGCTGAGCATATCTTTTGATGGAGCACTTTCAAAACACACTTTTTGTAGAATATGCAAGTGGATATTTGTACTTCTCTGAGAATTTCGTTGGAAACGGGATAAAACTCACATAACTGAAGAGAAACATTCCCAGAACTTCTTTGTGATGTTGGCATTCAACTGACAGAGTTGAACCTTCCCTCGTGAGTTCAGGTTGAAACGCTCTTTTCGTAGTATCTGCAAGTGGAGATTTGGAACGCTTTGAGGCCTACGGTAGTAAAGGAAACAGCTTCATGTAAAAACTGGACAGAAGCATTCTCAGAAAATACTTTGTGATGATTGAGTTTAACTCACAGAGCTGAACATGCCTTTGGGTGGAGCAGTTTGGAAACACACTTTTTGCAGAATCTGCAGGTGGATATTTGGACCTCTCTGAGGATTTCGTTGGAAACGGGTAACGTCACCTAACTAAACAGAAGCTTTCGCAGAAACATCTTTCTGACGTTTGCATTCAAAGTCCAGAGTTGAACCTTCCTTTGATAGTTCACGTTTGAAACACTCTTGTTGGAGGACCTGAAAGTGGATATTTGGAGCACTTTGTGGCCTTTGTTCGAAACGGGTATATCTTCACATAAAATCTAGACAGAAGCCTTCTCAGAAACTTCTCTGTGATGACTGCATTCAACTCACAGAGTTGAACATTCCTTTTGATAGAGCAGTTTTGAAACTCTCTTTTTCTAGCATCTGCAAATGGATAGGTGGAACTCTGTGAAGATTTCTTTGGAAACGGGAATATCTTCACGTAAAAAGTAAACAGAAGCATTCTCAGAAACTCCTTTGTGAGGCTTGTGTTCAACTCCCAGAGTATAACATTGCTTTTCATAGAGCAGTTTTGAAACATTCTTTTCGTAGAGTCTCCAAGTGGACATTTGGAGCGCTTTCAGGCCTGTGGTGGAAAAGGAAATATCTTCACATAAAAACTAGAGAGAAGCGTTGTCAGAAACTTCTTTGTGATGATTGCATTCAACTCACGGAGTTGAAGATTCCTTTTGATACAGCAGTTTGGAAACACTCTTTCGGTGGAATCTGCAAGCGGATATGTGTACCTCTTTGAACATTTCGATGGAAAAGGGATAATTTTCCCATAAAAGCTAAACGGAAGCATGCTCAGGAGCTTCTTTGTGATGTTTGCATTCAACTCACAGAGTTGTACTTTCCTTTTGATAGAGCAGCTTTGAAACCCTCTCTTTCTAGCATCTGCAAGGGGACATTTGGAGGGCTTCGAGGCCTGGGGTGGAAAAGGAAATATCTGCTCATTAAAGCTACATGGAAGCATTCTCAGAAACTGCTTTGTGATGATTGCATTCAAGTCACAGAGTTGAACATTCCCTTTGATAGAGCCGTTTGGAAACACACTTTTGGTAGAATCTGAAAGGGGAGATTTGGACCGCTTTGAGGCCTATGGCAGCAGAGGATATAACTGCCCATAAAAACTAGACAGTAGCATTCCCAGGAAACACTTTGTGACGATTGAGTTCAACTCACAGAGCTGAACATTCCTTTGGATGGAGCAGTTTCAAAACACACTTTCTGTAGAATCTGCAAGTGGATATTTGGACCTCTCTGAGGATTTCGTTGGATACGGGAGAAAACTCACCTATCTAAACAGAAGCATTCTCAGAACCTTCTTCGTGATGCTTGCATTCAACTCACAGTGTTGAACCTTTCTCTGATAGTTCAGGTTTGAAACACTCCTTCTGCAGAATCTGCAAGTGGAGATTTGGACCTCTTTGAGGCCTATCGTCGTAAAGGAAATAACTTCATCCTAAAACAAGACAGAAGCATTCTCAGAAAATTCTTTGTGATGATTGAGTTTAACTCACAGAGGTGAGCATATCTTTTGATGGAGCACATTCAAAACACACTTTTTGTAGAATATGCAAGTGGATATTTGTACTTCTCTGAGAATTTCGTTGGAAACGGGATAAAACTCACATAACTGAAGAGAAACATTCCCAGAACTTCTTTGTGATGTTGGCATTCAACTGACAGAGTTGAACCTTCCCTCGTGAGTTCAGGTTGAAACGCTCTTTTCGTAGTATCTGCAAGTGGAGATTTGGAACGCTTTGAGGCCTACGGTAGTAAAGGAAACAGCTTCATGTAAAAACTGGACAGAAGCATTCTCAGAAAATACTTTGTGATGATTGAGTTTAACTCACAGAACTGAACATGCCTTTGGGTGGAGCAGTTTGGAAACACACTTTTTGCAGAATCTGCAGGTGGATATTTGGACCTCTCTGAGGATTTCGTTGGAAACGGGATAACGTCACCTAACTAAACAGAAGCTTTCGCAGAAACATCTTTCTGACGTTTGCATTCAAAGTCCAGAGTTGAACCTTCCTTTGATAGTTCACGTTTGAAACACTCTTGTTGGAGGACCTGCAAGTGGATATTTGGAGCACTTTGTGGCCTTTGTTCGAAACGGGTATATCTTCACATAAAATCTAGACAGAAGCCTTCTCAGAAACTTCACTGTGATGATTGCTTTCAACTCACAGAGTTGAATATTCCTTTTGATAGAGCAGTTTTGAAAGTCTCTTTTTCTAGCATCTGCAAATGGATAGGTGGAACTCTGTGAAGATTTCTTTGGAAACGGGAATATCTTCACGTAAAAAGTAAACAGAAGCATTCTGAGAAACTCCTTTGTGAGGCTTGTGTTCATCTCCCAGAGTATAACATTGCTTTTCATAGAGCAGTTTTGAAACATTCTTTTCGTAGAGTCTCCAAGTGGACATTTGGAGCGCTTTCAGGCCTGTGGTGGAAAAGGAAATATCTTCACATAAAAACTAGAGAGAAGCATTGTCAGAAACTTCTTTGTGATGATTGCATTCAACTCACGGAGTTGAAGATTCCTTTCGATACAGCAGGTTGGAAACACGCTTTCGGTGGAATCTGCAAGCGGATATGTGGACCTCTTTGAACATTTCGATGGAAAAGGGATAATCTTCCCATAAAAGCTAAACGGAAGCATGCTCAGGAACTTCTTTGTGATGTTTTCATTCAACTCACAGAGTTGTACTTTCCTTTTGATAGAGCAGCTTTGAAACCCTCTCTTTCTAGCATCTGCAAGGGGACATTTGGAGGGCTTCGAGGCCTGGGGTGGAAAAGGAAATATCTGCTCATAAAAGCTACATGGAAGCATTCTCAGAAACTGCTTTGTGATGATTGCATTCAAGTCACAGAGTTGAACATTCCCTTTGATAGAGCCGTTTGGAAACACACTTTTGGTAGAATCTGAAAGGGGAGATTTGGACCGCTTTGAGGCCTATGGCAGCAGAGGATATAACTGCCCATAAAAACTAGACAGTAGCATTCCCAGGAAACAGTTTGTGACGATTGAGTTCAACTCACAGAGCTGAACATTACTTTGGATGGAGCAGTTTCAAAACACACTTTCTGTAGAATCTGCAAGTGGATATTTAGACCTCTCTGAGGATTTCGTTGGATACGGGAGAAAACTCACTTATCTAAACAGAAGCATTCTCAGAACCTTCTTCGTGATGCTTGCATTGAACTCACAGTGTTGAACCTTTCTCTGATAGTTCAGGTTTGAAACACTCCTTCTGCAGAATCTGCAAGTGGAGATTTGGACCTCTTTGAGGCCTATCGTCGTAAAGGAAATAACTTCATCCTAAAACAAGACAGAAGCATTCTCAGAAAATTCTTTGTGATGATTGAGTTTAACTCACAGAGGTGAGCATATCTTTTGATGGAGCATTTTCAAAACACACTTTTTGTAGAATATGCAAGTGGATATTTGTACTTCTCTGAGAATTTCGTTGGAAACGGGATAAAACTCACATAACTGAAGAGAAACATTCCCAGAACTTCTTTGTGATGTTGGCATTCAACTGACAGAGTTGAACCTTCCCTTGTGAGTTCAGGTTGAAACGCTCTTTTCGTAGTATCTGCAAGTGGAGATTTGGAACGCTTTGAGGCCTACGGTAGTAAAGGAAACAGCTTCATGTAAAAACTGGACAGAAGCATTCTCAGAAAATACTTTGTGATGATTGAGTTTAACTCACAGAGCTGAACATGCCTTTGTGTGGAGTAGTTTGGAAACACACTTTTTGCAGAATCTGCAGGTGGATATTTGGACCTCTCTGAGGATTTCGTTGGAAACGGGATAACGTCACCTAACTAAACAGAAGCTTTCGCAGAAACATCTTTCTGACGTTTGCATTCAAAGTCCAGAGTTGAACCTTCCTTTGATAGTTCACGTTTGAAACACTCTTGTTGGAGGACCTGCAAGTGGATATTTGGAGCACTTTGTGGCCTTCGTTCGAAACGGGTATATCTTCACATAAAATCTAGACAGAAGCCTTCTCAGAAACTTCTCTGTGATGACTGCATTCAACTCACAGAGTTGAACATTCCTTTTGATAGAGCAGTTTTGAAACTCTCTTTTTCTAGCATCTGCAAATGGATAGGTGGAAGCCTGTGAAGATTTCTTTGGAAACGGGAATATCTTCACGTAAAAAGTAAACAGAAGCATTCTCAGAAACTCCTTTGTGAGGCTTGTGTTCAACTCCCAGAGTATAACATTGCTTTTCATAGAGCAGTTTTGAAACATTCTTTTCGTAGAGTCTCCAAGTGGACATTTGGAGCGCTTTCAGGCCTGTGGTGGAAAAGGAAATATCTTCACATAAAAACTAGAGAGAAGCATTGTCAGAAACTTCTTTGTGATGATTGCATTCAACTCACGGAGTTGAAGATTCCTTTTGATACAGCAGTTTGGAGACACTCTTTCGGTGGAATCTGCAAGCGGATATGTGGACCTCTTTGAACATTTCGATGGAAAAGGGATAATCTTCCCATGAAAGCTAAACGGAAGCATGCTCAGGAACTTCTTTGTGATGTTTGCATTCAACTCACAGAGTTGTACTTTCCTTTTGATAGAGCAGCTTTGAAACCCTCTCTTTCTAGCATCTGCAAGGGGACATTTGGAGGGCTTCGAGGCCTGGGGTGGAAAAGGAAATATCTTCTCCTAAAAGCTACATGGAAGCATTCTCAGAAACTGCTTTGTGATGATTGCATTCAAGTCACAGAGTTGAACATTCCCTTTGATAGAGCCGTTTGGAAACACACTTTTGGTAGAATCTGAAAGGGGAGATTTGGACCGCTTTGAGGCCTATGGCAGCAGAGGATGTAACTGCCCATAAAAACTAGACAGTAGCATTCCCAGGAAACACTTTGTGACGATTGAGTTCAACTCACAGAGCTGAACATTCCTTTGGATGGAGCAGTTTCAAAACACACTTTCTGTAGAATCTGCAAGTGGATATTTGGACCTCTCTGAGGATTTCGTTGGATACGGGAGAAAACTCACCTATCTAAACAGAAGCATTCTCAGAACCTTCTTCGTGATGCTTGCATTCAACTCACAGTGTTGAACCTTTCTCTGGTAGTTCAGGTTTGAAACACTCCTTCTGCAGAATCTGGAAGTGGAGATTTGGACCTCTTTGAGGCCTATCGTCGTAAAGGAAATAACTTCATCCTAAAACAAGACAGAAGCATTCTCAGAAAATTCTTTGTGATGATTGAGTTTAACTCACAGAGCTGAACATATCTTTTGATGGAGCACTTTCAAAACACAGTTTTTGTCGAATATGCAAGTGGATATTTGTACTTCTCTGAGAATTTCGTTGGAAACGGGATAAAACTCACATAACTGAAGAGAAACATTCCCAGAACTTCTTTGTGATGTTGGCATTCAACTGACAGAGTTGAACCTTCCCTTGTGAGTTCAGGTTGAAATGCTCTTTTCGTAGTATCTGCAAGTGGAGATTTGGAACGCTTTGAGGCCTACGGTAGTAAAGGAAACAGCTTCATGTAAAAACTGGACAGAAGCATTCTCAGAAAATACTTTGTGATGATTGAGTTTAACTCACAGAGCTGAACATTCCTTTGGGTGGAGCAGTTTGGAAACACACTTTTTGTAGACTCTGCAGGTGGACATTTGGACCTCTCTGAGGATTTCGTTGGAAACGGGATAACGTCACCTAACTAAACAGAAGCTTTCGCAGAAACATCTTTCTGACGTTTGCATTCAAAGTCCAGAGTTGAACCTTCCTTTGATAGTTCACGTTTGAAACACTCTTGTTGGAGGACCTGCAAGTGGATATTTGGAGCACTTTGTGGCCTTCGTTCGAAACGGGTATATCTTCACATAAAATCTAGACAGAAGCCTTCTCAGAAACTTCTCTGTGATGACTGCATTCAACTCACAGAGTTGAACATTCCTTTTGATAGAGCAGTTTTGAAACTCTCTTTTTCTAGCATCTGCAAATGGATAGGTGGAACTCTGTGAAGATTTCTTTGGAAACGGGAATATCTTCACGTAAAAAGTAAACAGAAGCATTCTCAGAAAGTCCTTTGTGAGGCTTGTGTTCAACTCCCAGAGTATAACATTGCTTTTCATAGAGCAGTTTTGAAACATTCTTTTCGTAGAGTCTCCAAGTGGACATTTGGAGCGCTTTCAGGCCTGTGGTGGAAAAGGAAATATCTTCACATAAAAACTAGAGAGAAGCGTTGTCAGAAACTTCTTTGTGATGATTGCATTCAACTCACGGAGTTGAAGATTCCTTTTGATACAGCAGTTTGGAAACACTCTTTCGGTGGAATATGCAAGCGGATATGTGGACCTCTTTGAACATTTCGATGGAAAAGGGATTATCTTCCCATAAAAGCTAAACGGAAGCATGCTCAGGAACTTCTTTGTGATGTTTGCATTCAACTCACAGAGTTGTCCTTTCCTTTTGATAGAGCAGCTTTGAAACCCTCTCTTTCTAGCATCTGTAAGGGGACATTTGGAGGGCTTCGAGGCCTGGGGTGGAAAAGGAAATATCTGCTCATAAAAGCTACATGGAAGCATTCTCAGAAACTGCTTTGTGATGATTGCATTCAAGTCACAGAGTTGAACATTCCCTTTGATAGAGCCGTTTGGAAACACACTTTTGGTAGAATCTGAAAGGGGAGATTTGGACCGCTTTGAGGCCTATGGCAGCAGAGGATATAACTGCCCATAAAAACTAGACAGTAGCATTCCCAGGAAACACTTTGTGACGATTGAGTTCAACTCACAGAGCTGAACATTCCTTTGGATGGAGCAGTTTCAAAACACACTTTCGGTAGAATCTGCAAGTGGATATTTGGACCTCTCTGAGGATTTCGTTGGATAAGGGAGAAAACTCACCTATCTAAACAGAAGCATTCTCAGAACCTTCTTCGTGATGCTTGCATTCAACTCACAGTGTTGAACCTTTCTCTGATAGTTCAGGTTTGAAACACTCCTTCTGCAGAATCTGCAAGTGGAGATTTGGACCTCTTTGAGGCCTATCGTCGTAAAGGAAATAACTTCATCCTAAAACAAGACAGAAGCATTCTCAGAAAATTCTTTGTGATGATTGAGTTTAACTCACAGAGCTGAACATATCTTTTGATGGAGCACTTTCAAAACACACTTTTTGTCGAATATGCAAGTGGATATTTGTACTTCTCTGAGAATTTCGTTGGAAACGGGATAAATCTCACATACCTGAAGAGAAACATTCCCAGAATTTCTTTGTGATGTTGGCATTCAACTGACAGAGTTGAACCTTCCCTTGTGAGTTCAGGTTGAAACGCTCTTTTCGTAGTATGTGCAAGTGGAGATTTGGAACGCTTTGAGGCCTACGGTAGTAAAGGAAACAGCTTCATGTAAAAACTGGACAGAAGCATTCTCAGAAAATACTTTGTGATGATTGAGTTTAACTCACAGAGCTGAACATGCCTTTGGGTGGAGCAGTTTGGAAACACACTTTTTGCAGAATCTGCAGGTGGATATTTGGACCTCTCTGAGGATTTCGTTGAAAACGGGATAACGTCACCTAACTATACAGAAGCTTTCGCAGAAACATCTTTCTGACGTTTGCATTCAAAGTCCAGAGTTGAACCTTCCTTTGATAGTTCACGTTTGAAACACTCTTGTTGGAGGACCTGCAAGTGGATATTTGGAGCACTTTGTGGCCTTTGTTCGAAACGGGTATATCTTCACATAAAATCTAGACAGAAGCCTTCTCAGAAACTTCTCTGTGATGATTGCATTCAACTCACAGAGTTGAACATTCCTTTTGATAGAGCAGTTTTGAAACTCTCTTTTTCTAGCATCTGCAAATGGATAGGTGGAACTCTGTGAAGATTTCTTTGGAAACGGGAATATCTTCACGTAAAAAGTAAACAGAAGCATTCTCAGAAACTCCTTTGTGAGGCTTGTGTTCATCTCCCAGAGTATAACATTGCTTTTCATAGAGCAGTTTTGAAACATTCTTTTCGTAGAGTCACCAAGTGGACATTTGGAGCGCTTTCAGGCCTGTGGTGGAAAAGGAATTATCTTCACATAAAAACTAGAGAGAAGCATTGTCAGAAACTTCTTTGTGATGATTGCATTCAACTCACGGGGTTGAAGATTCCTTTCGATACAGCAGTTTGGAAACACTCTTTCGGTGGAATCTGCAAGCGGATATGTGGACCTCTTTGAACATTTCGATGGAAAAGGGATAATCTTCCCATAAAAGCTAAACGGAAGCATGCTCAGGAACTTCTTTGTGATGTTTGCATTCAACTCACAGAGTTGTACTTTCCTTTTGATAGAGCAGCTTTGAAACCCTCTCTTTCTAGCATCTGCAAGGGGACATTTGGAGGGCTTCGAGGCCTGGGGTGGAAAAGGAAATATCTGCTCATAAAAGCTACATGGAAGCATTCTCAGAAACTGCTTTGTGATGATTGCATTCAAGTCACAGAGTTGAACATTCCCTTTGATAGAGCCGTTTGGAAACACACTTTTGGTAGAATCTGAAAGGGGAGATTTGGACCGCTTTGAGGCCTGTGGTAGCAGAGGATATAACTGCCCATAAAAACTAGACAGTAGCATTCCCAGGAAACACTTTGTGACGATTGAGTTCAACTCACAGAGCTGAACATTCCTTTGGATGGAGCAGTTTCAAAACACACTTTCTGTAGAATCTGCAAGTGGATATTTGGACCTCTCTGAGGATTTCGTTGGATACGGGAGAAAACTCACCTATCTAAACAGAAGCATTCTCAGAACCTTCTTCGTGATGCTTGCATTCAACTCACAGTGTTGAACCTTTCTCTGATAGTTCCGGTTTGAAACACTCCTTCTGCAGAATCTGCAAGTGGAGATTTGGACCTCTTTGAGGCCTATCGTCGTAAAGGAAATAACTTCATCCTAAAACAAGACAGAAGCATTCTCAGAAAATTCTTTGTGATGATTGAGTTTAACTCACAGAGGTGAGCATATCTTTTGATGGAGCACATTCAAAACACACTTTTTGTAGAATATGCAAGTGGATATTTGTACTTCTCTGAGAATTTCGTTGGAAACGGGATAAAACTCACATAACTGAAGAGAAGCATTCTCAGAACTTCTTTGTGATGTTGGTATTCAACTGACAGAGTTGAACCTTCCCTTGTGAGTTCAGGTTGAATCGCTCTTTTCGTAGTATCTGCAAGTGGAGATTTGGAATGCTTTGAGGATTACGGTAGTAAAGGAAACAGCTTCATGTAAAAACTGGACAGAAGCATTCTCAGAAAATACTTTGGGATGATTGAGTTTAACTCACAGAGCTGAGCATTCCTTTGGGTGGAGCAGTTTTGAAACACACTTTTTGTAGACTCTGCAGGTGGATATTTGGACCTCTCTGAGGATTTCTTTGGAAACGGGATAACGTCACCTAACTAAACAGAAGCTTTCGCAGAAACATCTTTCTGACGTTTGCATTCAAAGTCCAGAGTTGAACCTTCCTTTGATAGTTCACGTTTGAAACACTCTTGTTGGAGGACCTGCAAGTGGATATTTGGAGCACTTTGTGGCCTTTGTTCGAAACGGGTATATCTTCACATAAAATCTAGACAGAAGCCTTCTCAGAAACTTCTCTGTGATGACTGCATTCAACTCACAGAGTTGAACATTCCTTTTGATAGAGCAGTTTTGAAACTCTCTTTTTCTAGCATCTGCAAATGGATAGGTGGAAGCCTGTGAAGATTTCTTTGGAAACGGGAATATCTTCACGTAAAAAGTAAACAGAAGCATTCTCAGAAACTCCTTTGTGAGGCTTGTGTTCAACTCCCAGAGTATAACATTGCTTTTCATAGAGCAGTTTTGAAACATTCTTTTCGTAGAGTCTCCAAGTGGACATTTGGAGCGCTTTCAGGCCTGTGGTGGAAAAGGAAATATCTTCACATAAAAACTAGAGAGAAGCGTTGTCAGAAACTTCTTTGTGATGATTGCATTCAACTCACGGAGTTGAAGATTCCTTTTGATACAGCAGTTTGGAAACACTCTTTCGGTGGAATCTGCAAGCGGATATGTGGACCTCTTTGAACATTTCGATGGAAAAGGGATAATCTTCCCATAAAAGCTAAACGGAAGCATGCTCAGGAGCTTCTTTGTGATGTTTGCATTCAACTCACAGAGTTGTACTTTCCTTTTGATAGAGCAGCTTTGAAACCCTCTCTTTCTAGCATCTGCAAGGGGACATTTGGAGGGCTTCGAGGCCTGGGGTGGAAAAGGAAATATCTGCTCATTAAAGCTACATGGAAGCATTCTCAGAAACTGCTTTGTGATGATTGCATTCAAGTCACAGAGTTGAACATTCCCTTTGATAGAGCCGTTTGGAAACACACTTTTGGTAGAATCTGAAAGGGGAGATTTGGACCGCTTTGAGGCCTATGGCAGCAGAGGATGTAACTGCCCATAAAAACTAGACAGTAGCATTCCCAGGAAACACTTTGTGACGATTGAGTTCAACTCACAGAGCTGAACATTCCTTTGGATGGAGCAGTTTCAAAACACACTTTCTGTAGAATCTGCAAGTGGATATTTGGACCTCTCTGAGGATTTCGTTGGATACGGGAGAAAACTCACCTATCTAAACAGAAGCATTCTCAGAACCTTCTTCGTGATGCTTGCATTCAACTCACAGTGTTGAACCTTTCTCTGATAGTTCAGGTTTGAAACACTCCTTCTGCAGAATCTGCAAGTGGAGATTTGGACCTTTTGAGGCCTATCGTAGTAAAGGAAATAACTTCATCCTAAAACAAGACAGAAGCATTCTCAGAAAATTCTTTGCGATGATTGAATTTAACTCACAGAGGTGAGCATATCTTCTGATGGAGTATGTTCAAAACACACTTTTTGTGGAATATGCAAGTGGATATTTGGACTTCTCTGAGAATTTCGTTGGAAACGGGATAAACCTCACATAACTGAAGAGAAACATTCCCAGAACTTCTTTGTGATGTTGGCATTCAACTCTCAGAGTTGAACCTTCCCTTGTGAGTTCAGGTTGAAACGCCCTTTTCGTAGTATCTGCAAGTGGAGATTTGGAACGCTTTGAGGCCTACGGTAGTAAAGGAAACAGCTTCATGTAAAAACTGGACAGAAGCATTCTCAGAAAATACTTTGTGATGATTGAGTTTAACTCACAGAGCTGAACATGCCTTTGGGTGGAGCAGTTTGGAAACACACTTTTTGCAGAATCTGCAGGTGGATATTTGGACCTCTCTGAGGATTTCGTTGGAAACGGGATAACGTCACCTAACTAAACAGAAGCTTTCGCAGAAACATCTTTTTGACGTTTGCATTCAAAGTCCAGAGTTGAACCTTACCTTTGATAGTTCACGTTTGAAACACTCTTGTTGGAGGACCTGCAAGTGGATATTTGGAGCACTTTGTGGCCTTTGTTCGAAACGGGTATATCTTCACATAAAATCTAGACAGAAGCCTTCTCAGAAACTTCTCTGTGATGACTGCATTCAACTCACAGAGTTGAACATTCCTTTTGATAGAGCAGTTTTGAAACTCTCTTTTTCTAGCATCTGCAAATGGATAGGTGGAAGTCTGTGAAGATTTCTTTGGAAACGGGAATATCTTCACGTAAAAAGTAAACAGAAGCATTCTCAGAAACTCCTTTGTGAGGCTTGTGTTCAACTCCCAGAGTATAACATTGCTTTTCATAGAGCAGTTTTGAAACATTCTTTTCGTAGAGTCTCCAAGTGGACATTTGGAGCGCTTTCAGGCCTGTGGTGGAAAAGGAAATATCTTCACATAAAAACTAGAGAGAGAAGCATTGTCAGAAACTTCTTTGTGATGATTGCATTCAACTCACGGAGTTGAAGATTCCTTTTGATACAGCAGTTTGGAGACACTCTTTCGGTGGAATCTGCAAGCGGATATGTGGACCTCTTTGAACATTTCGATGGAAAAGGGATAATCTTCCCATGAAAGCTAAACGGAAGCATGCTCAGGAACTTCTTTGTGATGTTTGCATTCAACTCACAGAGTTGTACTTTCCTTTTGATAGAGCAGCTTTGAAACCCTCTCTTTCTAGCATCTGCAAGGGGACATTTGGAGGGCTTCGAGGCCTGGGGTGGAAAAGGAAATATCTGCTCATAAAAGCTACATGGAAGCATTCTCAGAAACTGCTTTGTGATGATTGCATGCAAGTCACAGAGTTGAACATTCCCTTTGATAGAGCCGTTTGGAAACACACTTTTGGTAGAATCTGAAAGGGGAGATTTGGACCGCTTTGAGGCCTATGGCAGCAGAGGATATAACTGCCCATAAAAACTAGACAGTAGCATTCCCAGGAAACACTTTGTGACGATTGAGTTCAACTCACAGAGCTCAACATTCCTTTGGATGGAGCAGTTTCAAAACACACTTTCTGTAGAATCTGCAAGTGGATATTTGGACCTCTCTGAGGATTTCGTTGGATACGGGAGAAAACTCACCTATCTAAACAGAAGCATTCTCAGAACCTTCTTCGTGATGCTTGCATTCAACTCACAGTGTTGAACCTTTCTCTGATAGTTCAGGTTTGAAACACTCCTTCTGCAGAATCTGCAAGTGGAGATTTGGACCTCTTTGAGGCCTATCGTAATAAAGGAAATAACTTCATCCTAAAACAAGACAGAAGCATTCTCAGAAAATTCTTTGCAATGATTGAGTTTACGTCACAGAGCTGAGCATATCTTCTGATGGAGCATGTTCAAAACACACTTTTTGTAGAATATGCAAGTGGATATTTGGACTTCTCTGAGAATTTCTTTGGAAACGGGATAAACCTCACATAACTGAAGAGAAACATTCCCAGAACTTCTTTGTGATGTTGGCATTCAACTGACAGAGTTGAACCTTCCCTTGTGAGTTCAGGTTGAAACGCTCTTTTCGTAGTATCTGCAAGTGGATATTTGTAACGCTTTGAGGCCTACGGTAGTAAAGGAAACAGCTTCATGTAAAAACTGGACAGAAGCATTCTCAGAAAATACTTTGTGATGATTGAGTTTAACTCACAGAGCTGAACATTCCTTTGGGTGGAGCAGTTTGGAAACACACGTTTTGTAGACTCTGCAGGTGGACATTTGGACCTCTCTGAGGATTTCGTTGGAAAAGGGATAACGTCACCTAACTAAACAGAAGCTTTCGCAGAAACATCTTTCTGACGTTTGCATTCAAAGTCCAGAGTTGAACCTTCCTTTGATAGTTCACGTTTGAAACACTCTTGTTGGAGGACCTGCAAGTGGATATTTGGAGCACTTTGTGGCCTTCGTTCGAAACGGGTATATCTTCACATAAAATCTAGACAGAAGCCTTCTCAGAAACTTCTCTGTGATAATTGCATTCAACTCACAGAGTTGAACATTCCTTTTGATAGAGCAGTTTTGAAACTCTCTTTTTCTAGCATCTGCAAAGGGATAGGTGGAACTCTGTGAAGATTTCTTTGGAAACGGGAATATCTTCACGTAAAAAGTAAACAGAAGCATTCTCAGAAACTCCTTTGTGAGGCTTGTGTTCAACTCCCAGAGTATAACATTGCTTTTCATAGAGCAGTTTTGAAACATTCTTTTCGTAGAGTCTCCAAGTGGACATTTGGAGCGCTTTCAGGCCTGTGGTGGAAAAGGAAATATCTTCACATAAAAACTAGAGAGAAGCATTGTCAGAAACTTCTTTGTGATGATTGCATTCACCTCACTGAGTTGAACATTCGTTTTGATACAGCAGTTTGGAATCACTCTTTCGGTGGAATCTGCAAGCTGATATTTGGACCTCTTTGAAGATTTCGATGGAAAAGGGATAATCTTCCCATAAAAGCTAAACGGAAACATTCTCAGAAACTTCTTTGTGATGTTTGCATTCAACTCACAGAGTTGTACTTTCCTTTAGATAGAGCCGCTTTGAAACCCTCTCTTTCTAGAACCTGCAAGTGGACATTTGGAGGGCTTCGCGGCCTGTGGTGGAAAAGGAAATATCTTCCCATAAAAGCTAGATGGAAGCATTCTCAGAAGCTGCTTTGTGATGATTGCATTCAAGTCACCGAGTTGAACATCCCCTTTGATGGGGCCGTTTGGAAACACACTTTTGGTAGAATCTGAAAGGGGAGATTTGGACCGCTTTGAGGCCTATGGCAGTAGAGGATATAACTGCACATAAAAGCGAGACAGGAGCATTCCCAGGAAACACTTTGTGACGATTGAGTTCAATTCACAGAGCTGAACATTCCTTTGGATGGAGCAGTTTCAAAACACACTTTTTGTAGAATCTGCAAGTGGAGATTTGGACCGCTCTGAGGATTTCATTGGATACGGGAGAAAACTCACCTATGTAAACAGAAGCATTCTCAGAACCTTCTTCGTGATGCTTGCATTCAACTCACAGTGTTGAACCTTTCTCTGATAGTTCAGGTTTGAAACACTCCTTCTGCAGAATCTGCAAGTGGAGATTTGGACCTCTTTGAGGCCTATCGTAGTAAAGGAAAGAACTTCATCTAAAAACAAGACAGAAGCATTCTCAGAACCTTCTTCCTGATGCTTGCATTCAACTCACAGTGTTGAACCTTTCTCTGATAGTTCAGGTTTTAAACACTCCTTCTGCAGAATCTGCAAGTCGAGATTTGGACCTCTTTGAGGCCTATCGTAGTAAATGAAAGAACTTCATCTAAAAACAAGACAGAAGCATTCTCAGAAAATTCTTTGTGATGATTGGGTTTAACTCACAGAGCTGAGCATATCTTTTGATGGAGCATTTTCAAAACACACTTTTTGTAGAATATCCAAGTGGATATTTGGACTTCTCTGAGAATTTCGTTGGAAACGGGATAAACCTCACATAGGTGAGGAGAAACATTCTCAGAACTTCTTTGTAATGTTGGCATTCAAATGACAGAATTGAACCTTCCCTTGTGAGTTCAGGCTGAATCGCTCTTTTCGTAGTATCTGCAAGTGGAGATTTGGAACGCTTTGAGGCCTACGGTAGTAAAGGAAACAGCTTCATGTAAAAACTGGACAGAAGCATTCTCAGAAAATACTTTGTGATGATTGAGTTTAACTCACACAGCTGAACATTCCTTTGGGTGGAGCAGTTTGGAAACACACTTTTTGTGGACCCTGCAGGTGGACATTTGGACCTCTCTGAGGATTTCTTTGGAAACGGGATAACGTCACCTAACTAAACAGAAGCTTTCGCAGAAACTTCTTTCTGACGTTTGCATTCAAAGTCCAGAGCTGACCTTTGCTTTGATAGTTCACGGTTGAAACACTCTTGTTGGAGGACCTGCAAGTGGATATTTGGAGCACTTTGTGGCCTTCGTTGGAAACGGGTATATCTTCACATAAAATCTAGACAGAAGCCTTCTCAGAAACTTCTCTGTGATGACTGCATTCAACTCACAGAGTTGAACATTCCTTTTGATAGAGCAGTTTTGAAACTCTCTTTTTCTAGCATCTGCAAATGGATAGGTGGAAGTCTGTGAAGATTTGCTTTGGAAACGGGAATATCTTCACGTAAAAAGTAAACAGATGCCTTCTCAGAAACTTCTTTGTGAGGCATGTGTTCAACTCCCAGAGTTTAACCTTGCTTTTCATAGAACAGTTTTGAAACATTCTTTTCGTAGAGTCTCCAAGTGGACATTTGGAGCGCTTTCAGGCCTGTGGTGGAAAAGGAAATATCTTCACATAAAAACTAGAGAGAAGCGTTGTCAGAAACTTCTTTGTGATGACTGCATTCAACTCACGGAGTTGAAGATTCCTTTTGATACAGCAGTTTGGAAACACTCTTTCGGTGGAATCTGCAAGCGGATATGTGGACCTCTTTGAACATTTCGATGGAAAAGGGATTATCTTCCCATAAAAGCTAAACGGAAGCATGCTCAGGAAGTTCTTTGTGATGTTTGCATTCAACTCACAGAGTTGTACTTTCCTTTTGATAGAGCAGCTTTGAAACCCTCTCTTTCTAGCATCTGCAAGGGGACATTTGGAGGGCTTCGAGGCCTGGCGTGGAAAAGGAAATATCTGCTCATAAAAGCTACATGGAAGCATTCTCAGAAACTGCTTTGTGATGATTGCATTCAAGTCACAGAGTTGAACATTCCCTTTCATACAGCCGTTTGGAAACACACTTTTGGTAGAATCTGAAAGGGGAGATTTGGACCGCTTTGAGG
Organism: Homo sapiens; assembly: GCF_000001405.40. Lineage (NCBI taxonomy): Eukaryota > Metazoa > Chordata > Mammalia > Primates > Hominidae > Homo > Homo sapiens. The sequence goes on from NC_000001.11 coordinate 122,452,164, forward strand.
CCTATGGCAGCAGAGGATATAACTGCACATAAAAACTAGACAGTTAGCATTCCCAGGAAACACTTTGTGACGATTGAGTTCAACTCACAGTGCTGAACATTCCTTTGGATGGAGCAGTTTCAAAACACACTTTCTGTAGAATCTGCAAGGGGATATTTGGACCTCTCTGAGGATTTCGTTGGATACGGGAGAAAACTCACCTATCTAAACAGAGCATTCTCAGAACCTTCTTCGTGATGCTTGCATTCAACTCACAGTGTTGAACCTTTCTCTGATAGTTCAGGTTTGAAACACTCCTTCTGCAGAATCTGCAAGTGGAGATTTGGACCTCTTTGAGGCCTATCGTCGTAAAGGAAATAACTTCATCCTAAAACAAGACAGAAGCATTCTCAGAAAATTCTTTGTGATGATTGAGTTTAACTCACAGAGCTGAGCATATCTTTTGATGGAGCACTTTCAAAACACACTTTTTGTAGAATATGCAAGTGGATATTTGTACTTCTCTGAGAATTTCGTTGGAAACGGGATAAAACTCACATAACTGAAGAGAAACACTCCCAGAATTTCTTTGTGATGTTGGCATTCAACTGACAGAGTTGAACCTTCCCTTGTGAGTTCAGGTTGAAACGCTCTTTTCGTAGTATCTGCAAGTGGAGATTTGGAACGCTTTGAGGCCTACGGTAGTAAAGGAAACAGCTTCATGTAAAAACTGGACAGAAGCATTCTCAGAAAATACTTTGTGATGATTGAGTTTAACTCACAGAGCTGAACATGCCTTTGGGTGCAGCAGTTTGGAAACACACTTTTTGCAGAATCTGCAGGTGGATATTTGGACCTCTCTGAGGATTTCGTTGGAAACGGGATAACGTCACCTAACTAAACAGAAGCTTTCGCAGAAACATCTTTCTGACGTTTGCATTCAAAGTCCAGATTTGAACCTTCCTTTGATAGTTCACGTTTGAAACACTCTTGTTGGAGGACCCGCAAGAGGATATTTGGAGCACTTTGTGGCCTTTGTTCGAAACGGGTATATCTTCACATAAAATCTAGCCAGAAGCCTTCTCAGAAACTTCTCTGTGATGATTGTATTCAACTCACAGAGTTGAACATTCCTTTTGATAGAGCAGTTTTGAAACTCTCTTTTTCTAGCATCTGCAAAGGGAAGGTGGAACTCTGTGAAGATTTCTTTGGAAACGGGAATATCCTCACGTAAAAAGTAAACAGAAGCATTCTCAGAAACTCCTTTGTGAGGCTTGTGTTCAACTCCCAGAATATAACATTGCTTTTCATAGAGCAGTTTTGAGACATTCTTTTCGTAGAGTCTCCAAGTGGACATTTGGAGCGCTTTCAGGCCTGTGGTGGAAAAGGAAATATCTTCACATAAAAACTAGAGAGAAGCGTTGTCAGAAACTTCTTTGTGATGATTGCATTCAACTCACGGAGTTGAAGATTCCTTTTGATACAGCAGTTTGGAAACACTCTTTCGGTGGAATCTGCAAGCGGATATGTGGACCTCTTTGAACATTTCGATGGAAAAGGGATAATCTTCCCATAAGAGCTAAACGGAAGCATTCTCAGGAACTTCTTTGTGATGTTTGCATTCAACTCACAGAGTTGTACTTTCCTTTTGATAGAGCAGCTTTGAAACCCTCTCTTTCTAGCATCTGCAAGGGGACATTTGGAGGGCTTCGAGGCCTGGGGTGGAAAAGGAAATATCTGCTCATAAAAGCTACATGGAAGCATTCTCAGAAACTGCTTTGTGATGATTGCATTCAAGTCACAGAGTTGAACATTCCCTTTGATAGAGCCGTTTGGAAACACACTTTTGGTAGAATCTGAAAGGGGAGACTTGGACCGATTTGAGGCCTATGGAAGCAGAGGATATAACTGCACATAAAAACTAGACAGTAGCATTCTCAGGAAACAATTTGTGACGATTGAGTTCAACTCACAGAGCTGAACATTCCTTTGGATGGAGCAGTTTCAAAACACACTTTTTGTAGAATCTGCAAGTGGATATTTGGACCTCTCTGAGGATTTCGTTGGAAACGGGAGAAACCTCACCTATCTAAACAGAAGCATTCTCAGAACCTTCTTCGTGATGTTTGCATTCAACTCACAGTGTTGAACCTTCCTCTGATAGTTCAGGTTTGAAACACTCTTTCTGTAGAATCTGCAAGTGGAGATTTGGACCTCTTTGAGGCCTATCGTAGTAAAGGAAATATCTTCATCTAAAAAGAAGACAGATGCATTCTCAGAAAATTCTTTGTGATGATTGAGTTTAACTCACAGAGCTGAGCATTCCTTTTGATGGAGCAGTTTCGAAACACACTTTTTTTAGAATATGCAAGTGGATATTTGGACTTCTCTGAGGATTTCATTGGAAACGGGATAAACCTCACTTAACTAAACAGAAGCATTCTCAGAAACTTCTTTGTGATGTTGGCATTCAACTCACAGATTTGAACCTTCCTTTGTGAGTTGAGGTTGAGACACTCTTTTTGTAGAATCTGCAAGTGGAGATTTGGACCGCTTTGGGGCCTACGGTAGTAAAGGAAATAGCTTCCTGTAAAAACTGGACAGAAGCATTCTCAGAAAATACTTTGTGATGATTGAGTTTAACTCACAGAGCTGAACATGCCTTTGGGTGGAGCAGTTTGGAAACACACTTTTTGCAGAATCTGCAGGTGGATATTTGGACCTCTCTGAGGATTTCGTTGGAAACGGGATAACGTCACCTAACTAAACAGAAGCTTTCGCAGAAACATCTTTCTGACGTTTGCATTCAAAGTCCAGAGTTGAACCTTCCTTTGATAGTTCACGTTTGAAACACTCTTGTTGGAGGACCTGCAAGTGGATATTTGGAGCACTTTGTGGCCTTTGTTCGAAACGGGTATATCTTCACATAAAATCTAGACAGAAGCCTTCTCAGAAACTTCTCTGTGATGATTGCATTCAACTCACAGAGTTGAACATTCCTTTTGATAGAGCAGTTTTGCAACTCTCTTTTTCTAGCATCTGCAAATGGATAGGTGGAACTCTGTGAGGATTTCTTTGGAAACGGGAATATCTTCACGTAAAAAGTAAACAGAAGCATTCTCAGAAAGTCCTTTGTGAGGCTTGTGTTCAACTCCCAGAGTATAACATTGCTTTTCATAGAGCAGTTTTGAAACATTCTTTTCGTAGAGTCTCCAAGTGGACATTTGGAGCGCTTTCAGGCCTGTGGTGGAAAAGGAAATATCTTCACATAAAAACTAGAGAGAAGCGTTGTCAGAAACTTCTTTGTGATGATTGCATTCAACTCACGGAGTTGAAGATTCCTTTTGATACAGCAGTTTGGAAACACTCTTTCGGTGGAATCTGCAAGCGGATATGTGGACCTCTTTGAACATTTCGATGGAAAAGGGATAATCTTCCCATAAAAGCTAAACGGAAGCATGCTCAGGAGCTTCTTTGTGATGTTTGCATTCAACTCACAGAGTTGTACTTTCCTTTTGATAGAGCAGCTTTGAAACCCTCTCTTTCTAGCATCTGCAAGGGGACATTTGGAGGGCTTCGAGGCCTGGGGTGGAAAAGGAAATATCTGCTCATTAAAGCTACATGGAAGCATTATCAGAAACTGCTTTGTGATGATTGCATTCAAGTCACAGAGTTGAACATTCCCTTTGATAGAGCCGTTTGGAAACACACTTTTGGTAGAATCTGAAAGGGGAGATTTGGACCGCTTTGAGGCCTATGGCAGCAGAGGATATAACTGCCCATAAAAACTAGACAGTAGCATTCTCAGGAAACACTTTGTGACGATTGAGTTCAACTCACAGAGCTGAACATTCCTTTGGATGGAGCAGTTTCAAAACACACTTTCTGTAGAATCTGCAAGTGGATATTTGGACCTCTCTGAGGATTTCGTTGGATACGGGAGAAAACTCACCTATCTAAACAGAAGCATTCTCAGAACCTTCTTCGTGATGCTTGCATTCAACTCACAGTGTTGAACCTTTGTCTTATAGTTCAGGTTTGAAACACTCCTTCTGCAGAATCTGCAAGTGGAGATTTGGACCTCTTTGAGGCCTATCGTCGTAAAGGAAATAACTTCATCCTAAAACAAGACAGAAGCATTCTCAGAAAATTTTTGTGATGATTGAGTTTAACTCACAGAGCTGAGCATATCTTTTGATGGAGCACTTTCAAAACACACTTTTTGTAGAATATGCAAGTGGATATTTGTACTTCTCTGAGAATTTCGTTGGAAACGGGATAAAACTCACATAACTGAAGAGAAACATTCTCAGAACTTCTTTGTGATGTTGGCATTCAACTGATAGAGTTGAACCTTCCCTTGTGAGTTCAGGTTGAATCGCTCTTTTCGTAGTATCTGCAAGTGGAGATTTGGAACGCTTTGAGGCCTACGGTAGTAAAGGAAACAGCTTCATGTAAAAACTGGACAGAAGCATTCTCAGAAAATACTTTGTGATGATTGAGTTTAACTCACAGAGCTGAACATGCCTTTGGGTGGAGCAGTTTGGAAACACACTTTTTGCAGAATCTGCAGGTGGATATTTGGACCTCTCTGAGGATTTCGTTGGAAACGGGATAACGTCACCTAACTAAACAGAAGCTTTCGCAGAAACATCTTTCTGACGTTTGCATTCAAAGTCCAGAGTTGAACCTTCCTTTGATAGTTCACGTTTGAAACACTCTTGTTGGAGGACCTGCAAGTGGATATTTGGAGCACTTTGTGGCCTTCGTTCGAAACGGGTATATCTTCACATAAAATCTAGACAGAAGCCTTCTCAGAAACTTCTCTGTGATGACTGCATTCAACTCACAGAGTTGAACATTCCTTTTGATAGAGCAGTTTTGAAACTCTCTTTTTCTAGCATCTGCAAATGGATAGGTGGAAGTCTGTGAAGATTTCTTTGGAAACGGGAATATCTTCACGTAAAAAGTAAACAGAAGCATTCTCAGAAACTCCTTTGTGAGGCTTGTGTTCATCTCCCAGAGTATAACATTGCTTTTCATAGAGCAGTTTTGAAACATTCTTTTCGTAGAGTCTCCAAGTGCACATTTGGAGTGCTTTCAGGCCTGTGGTGGCAAAGGAAATATCTTCACATGAAAACTAGAGAGAAGCGTTGTCAGAAACTTCTTTGTGATGATTGCATTCAACTCACGGAGTTGAAGATTCCTTTTGATACAGCAGTTTGGAAACACTCTTTCGGTGGAATCTGCAAGCGGATATGTGGACCTCGTTGAACATTTCGATGGAAAAGGGATAATCTTCCCATAAAAGCTAAACGGAAGCATGCTCAGGAACTTCTTTGTGATGTTTGCATTCAACTCACAGAGTTGTACTTTCCTTTTGATAGAGCAGCTTTGAAACCCTCTCTTTCTAGCATCTGCAAGGGGACATTTGGAGGGCTTCGAGGCCTGGGGTGGAAAAGGAAATATCTGCTCATAAAAGCTACATGGAAGCATTCTCAGAAACTGCTTTGTGATGATTGCATTCAAGTCACAGAGTTGAACATTCCCTTTGATAGAGCCGTTTGGAAACACACTTTTGGTAGAATCTTAAAGGGGAGATTTGGACCGCTTTGAGGCCTATGGCAGCAGAGGATATAACTGCCCATAAAAACTAGACAGTAGCATTCCCAGGAAACACTTTGTGACGATTGAGTTCAACTCACAGAGCTGAACATTCCTTTGGATGGAGCAGTTTCAAAACACACTTTCTGTAGAATCTGCAAGTGGATATTTGGACCTCTCTGAGGATTTCGTTGGATACGGGAGAAAACTCACCTATCTAAACAGAAGCATTCTCAGAACCTTCTTCGTGATGCTTGCATTCAACTCACAGTGTTGAACCTTTCTCTGATAGTTCAGGTTTGAAACACTCCTTCTGCAGAATCTGCAAGTGGAGATTTGGACCTCTTTGAGGCCTATCGTCGTAAAGGAAATAACTTCATCCTAAAACAAGACAGAAGCATTCTCAGAAAATTCTTTGTGATGATTGAGTTTAACTCACAGAGCTGAGCATATCTTTTGATGGAGCACTTTCAAAACACACTTTTTGTAGAATATGCAAGTGGATATTTGTACTTCTCTGAGAATTTCGTTGGAAACGGGATAAAACTCACATAACTGAAGAGAAACATTCCCAGAACCTCTTTGTGATGTTGGCATTAAACTGACAGAGTTGAACCTTCCCTTGTGAGTTCAGGTTGAAACGCTCTTTTCGTAGTATCTGCAAGTGGAGATTTGGAACGCTTTGAGGCCTACGGTAGTAAAGGGAACAGCTTCATGTAAAAACTGGACAGAAGCATTCTCAGAAAATACTTTGTGATGATTGAGTTTAACTCACAGAGCTGAACATGCCTTTGGGTGGAGCAGTTTGGAAACACACTTTTTGCAGAATCTGCAGGTGGATATTTGGACCTCCCTGAGGATTTCGTTGGAAACGGGATAACGTCACCTAACTAAACAGAAGCTTTCGCTGAAACATCTTTCTGACGTTTGCATTCAAAGTCCAGAGTTGAACCTTCCTTTGATAGTTCACGTTTGAAACACTCTTGTTGGAGGACCCGCAAGTGGATATTTGGAGCACTTTGTGGCCTTTGTTCGAAACGGGTATATCTTCACATAAAATCTAGACAGAAGCCTTCTCAGAAACTTCTCTGTGATGACTGCATTCAACTCACAGAGTTGAACATTCCTTTTGATAGAGCAGTTTTGAAACTCTCTTTTTCTAGCATCTGCAAATGGATAGGTGGAAGTCTGTGAAGATTTCTTTGGAAACGGGAATATCTTCACGTAAAAAGTAAACAGAAGCATTCTGAGAAACTCCTTTGTGAGGCTTGTGTTCATCTCCCAGAGTATAACATTGCTTTTCATAGAGCAGTTTTGAAACATTCTTTTCGTAGAGTCTCCAAGTGGACATTTGGAGCGCTTTCAGGCCTGTGGTGGAAAAGGAAATATCTTCACATAAAAACTAGAGAGAAGCGTTGTCAGAAACTTCTTTGTGATGATTGCATTCAACTCACGGAGTTGAAGATTCCTTTTGAAACAGCAGTTTGGAAACACTCTTTCGGTGGAATCTGCAAGCGGATATGTGGACCTCTTTGAACATTTCGATGGAAAAGGGATAATCTTCCCATAAAAGCTAAACGGAAGCATGCTCAGGAACTTCTTTGTGATGTTTGCATTCATCTCACAGAGTTGTACTTTCCTTTTGATAGAGCAGCTTTGAAACCCTCTCTTTCTAGCATCTGCCAGGGGACATTTGGAGGGCTTCGAGGCCTGGGGTGGAAAAGGAAATATCTTCTCCTAAAAGCTACATGGAAGCATTCTCAGAAACTGCTTTGTGATGATTGCATTCAAGTCACAGAGTTGAACATTCCCTTTGATAGAGCCGTTTGGAAACACACTTTTGGTAGAATCTGAAAGGGGAGATTTGGACCGCTTTGAGGCCTATGGCAGCAGAGGATATAACTGCCCATAAAAACTAGACAGTAGCATTCCCAGGAAACACTTTGTGACGATTGAGTTCAACTCACAGAGCTGAACATTCCTTTGGATGGAGCAGTTTCAAAACACACTTTCTGTAGAATCTGCAAGTGGATATTTGGACCTCTCTGAGGATTTCGTTGGATACGGGAGAAAACTCACCTATCTAAACAGAAGCATTCTCAGAACCTTCTTCGTGATGCTTGCATTCAACTCACAGTGTTGAACCTTTCTCTGATAGTTCAGGTTTGAAACACTCCTTCTGCAGAATCTGCAAGTGGAGATTTGGACCTCTTTGAGGCCTATCGTCGTAAAGGAAATAACTTCATCCTAAAACAAGACAGAAGCATTCTCAGAAAATTCTTTGTGATGATTGAGTTTAACTCACAGAGCTGAGCATATCTTTTGATGGAGCACTTTCAAAACACACTTTTTGTAGAATATGCAAGTGGATATTTGTACTTCTCTGAGAATTTCGTTGGAAACGGGATAAAACTCACATAACTGAAGAGAAACATTCCCAGAACTTCTTTGTGATGTTGGCATTCAACTGACAGAGTTGAACCTTCCCTCGTGAGTTCAGGTTGAAACGCTCTTTTCGTAGTATCTGCAAGTGGAGATTTGGAACGCTTTGAGGCCTACGGTAGTAAAGGAAACAGCTTCATGTAAAAACTGGACAGAAGCATTCTCAGAAAATACTTTGTGATGATTGAGTTTAACTCACAGAGCTGAACATGCCTTTGGGTGCAGCAGTTTGGAAACACACTTTTTGCAGAATCTGCAGGTGGATATTTGGACCTCTCTGAGGATTTCCTTGGAAACGGGATAACGTCACCTAACTAAACAGAAGCTTTCGCAGAAACATCTTTCTGACGTTTGCATTCAAAGTCCAGAGTTGAACCTTCCTTTGATAGTTCACGTTTGAAACACTCTTGTTGGAGGACCTGCAAGTGGATATTTGGAGCACTTTGTGGCCTTCGTTCGAAACGGGTATATCTTCACATAAAATCTAGACAGAAGCCTTCTCAGAAACTTCTCTGTGATGACTGCATTCAACTCACAGAGTTGAACATTCCTTTTGATAGAGCAGTTTTGAAACTCTCTTTTTCAAGCATCTGCAAATGGATAGGTGGAAGTCTGTGAAGATTTCTTTGGAAACGGGAATATCTTCACGTAAAAAGTAAACAGAAGCATTTTCAGAAACTCCTTTGTGAGGCTTGTGTTCAACTCCCAGAGTATAACATTGCTTTTCATAGAGCAGTTTTGAAACATTCCTTTCGTAGGGTCTGCAAGTGGACATTTTGAGCGCTTTCAGGCCTGCGGTGGAAAAGGAAATATCTTCACATAAAAACTAGAGAGAAGCATTGTCAGAAACTTCTTTGTGATGATTGCATTCAACTCACGGAGTTGAAGATTCCTTTTGATACAGCAGTTTGGAAACACTCTTTCGGTGGAATCTGCAAGCGGATATGTGGACCTCTTTGAACATTTCGATGGAAAAGGGATAATCTTCCCATGAAAGCTAAACGGAAGCATGCTCAGGAACTTCTTTGTGATGTTTGCATTCAACTCACACAGTTGTACTTTCCTTTTGATAGAGCAGCTTTGAAACCCTCTCTTTCTACCATCTGCAAGGGGACATTTGGAGGGCTTCGAGGCCTGGGGTGGAAAAGGAAATATCTGCTCATAAAAGCTACATGGAAGCATTCTCAGAAACTGCTTTGTGATGATTGCATTCAAGTCACGGTGTTGAACATTCCCTTTGATAGAGCCGTTTGGAAACACACTTTTGGTAGAATCTGAAAGGGGAGATTTGGACCGCTTTGAGGCCTATGGCAGCAGAGGATATAACTGCCCATAAAAACTAGACAGTAGCATTCCCAGGAAACACTTTGTGACGATTGAGTTCAACTCACAGAGCTCAACATTCCTTTGGATGGAGCAGTTTCAAAACACACTTTCTGTAGAATCTGCAAGTGGATATTTGGACCTCTCTGAGGATTTCGTTGGATACGGGAGAAACCTCACCTATCTAAACAGAAGCATTCTGAGAACCTTCTTCGTGATGCTTGCATTCAACTCACAGTGTTGAACCTTTCTCTGATAGTTCAGGTTTGAAACACTCCTTCTGCAGAATCTGCAAGTGGAGATTTGGACCTCTTTGAGGCCTATCGTCGTAAAGGAAATAACTTCATCCTAAAACAAGACAGAAGCATTCTCAGAAAATTCTTTGTGATGATTGAGTTTAACTCACAGAGCTGAGCATATCTTTTGATGGAGCACTTTCAAAACACACTTTTTGTAGAATATGCAAGTGGATATTTGTACTTCTCTGAGAATTTCGTTGGAAACGGGATAAAACTCACATAACTGAAGAGAAACATTCCCAGAATTTCTTTGTGATGTTGGCATTCAACTGACAGAGTTGAACCTTCCCTTGTGAGTTCAGGTTGAAACGCTCTTTTCGTAGTATCTGCAAGTGGAGATTTGGAACGCTTTGAGGCCTACGGTAGTAAAGGAAACAGCTTCATGTGAAAACTGGACAGAAGCATTCTCAGAAAATACTTTGTGATGATTGAGTTTAACTCACAGAGCTGAACATGCCTTTGGGTGGAGCAGTTTGGAAACACACTTTTTGCAGAATCTGCAGGTGGATATTTGGACCTCTCTGAGGATTTCGTTGGAAACGGGATAACGTCACCTAACTAAACAGAAGCTTTCGCAGAAACATCTTTCTGACGTTTGCATTCAAAGTCCAGAGTTGAACCTTCCTTTGATAGTTCACGTTTGAAACACTCTTGTTGGAGGACCTGCAAGTGGATATTTGGAGCACTTTGTGGCCTTTGTTCGAAACGGGTATATCTTCACATAAAATCTAGACAGAAGCCTTCTCAGAAACTTCTCTGTGATGACTGCATTCAACTCACAGAGTTGAACATTCCTTTTGATAGAGCAGTTTTGAAACTCTCTTTTTCTAGCATCTGCAAATGGATAGGTGGAAGTCTGTGAAGATTTCTTTGGAAACGGGAATATCTTCACGTAAAAAGTAAACAGATCTATCTAGTTTTTATACGAAGATATTTCCTTTTCTACCATTTACCACAAAGCGGCTGAAATCTCCACTTGCAAATTCCAGAAAAAGAGTGTTTCAAGTCTGCTCTGTGTAAAGGATCGTTCAACTCTGTGAGTTGAATACACACAACGAAAGGAAGTTACTGAGAATTCTTCTGTCTAGCATAAAAAGTAAACAGAAGCATTCTCAAAAACTCCTTTGTGAGGCTTGTGTTCAACTCCCAGAGGATAACATTGCTTTTCATAGAGCAGTTTTGAAACATTCTTTTCGTTGAGTCTCCAAGTGGACATTTGGAGCGCTTTCAGGCCTGTGGTGGAAAAGGAAATATCTTCACATAAAAACTAGAGAGAAGCATTGTCAGAAACTTCTTGGTGATGATTGCATTCAACTCACGGAGTGGAAGATTCCTTTTGATACAGCAGTTTGGAAACACTCTTTCGGTGGAATCTGCAAGCGGATATGTGGACCTCTTTGAACATTTCAATGGAAAAGGGATAATCTTCCCATAAAAGCTAAACGGAAGCATGCTCAGGAACTTCTTTGTGATGTTTGCATTCAACTCACAGAGTTGTACTTTCCTTTTGATAGAGCAGCTTTGAAACCCTCTCTTTCTAGCATCTGCAAGGGGACATTTGGAGGGCTTCGAGGCCTGGGGTGGAAAAGGAAATATCTGCTCATAAAAGCTACATGGAAGCATTCTCAGAAACTGCTTTGTGATGATTGCATGCAAGTCACAGAGTTGAACATTCCCTTTGATAGAGCCGTTTGGAAACACACTTTTGGTAGAATCTGAAAGGGGAGATTTGGACCGCTTTGAGGCCTATGGCAGCAGAGGATATAACTGCCCATAAAAACTAGACAGTAGCATTCCCAGGAAACACTTTGTGACGATTGAGTTCAACTCACAGAGCTGAACATTCCTTTGGATGGAGCAGTTTCAAAACACACTTTCTGTAGAATCTGCAAGTGGATATTTGGACCTCTCTGAGGATTTCGTTGGATACGGGAGAAAACTCACCTATCTAAACAGAAGCATTCTCAGAACCTTCTTCGTGATGCTTGCATTCAACTCACAGTGTTGAACCTTTCTCTGATAGTTCAGGTTTGAAACACTCCTTCTGCAGAATCTGCAAGTGGAGATTTGGACCTCTTTGAGGCCTATCGTCGTAAAGGAAATAACTTCATCCTAAAACAAGACAGAAGCATTCTCAGAAAATTCTTTGTGATGATTGAGTTTAACTCACAGAGCTGAGCATATCTTTTGATGGAGCACATTCAAAACACACTTTTTGTAGAATATGCAAGTGGATATTTGTACTTCTCTGAGAATTTCGTTGGAAACGGGATAAAACTCACATAACTGAAGAGAAACATTCCCAGAACTTCTTTGTGATGTTGGCATTCAACTGACAGAGTTGAACATTCCCTCGTGAGTTCAGGTTGAAACGCTCTTTTCGTAGTATCTGCAAGTGGAGATTTGGAACGCTTTGAGGCCTACGGTAGTAAAGGAAACAGCTTCATGTAAAAACTGGACAGAAGCATTCTCAGAAAATACTTTGTGATGATTGAGTTTAACTCACAGAGCTGAACATGCCTTTGGGTGGAGCAGTTTGGAAACACACTTTTTGCAGAATCTGCAGGTGGATATTTGGACCTCTCTGAGGATTTCGTTGGAAACGGGATAACGTCACCTAACTAAACAGAAGCTTTCGCAGAAACATCTTTCTGACGTTTGCATTCAAAGTCCAGAGTTGAACCTTCCTTTGATAGTTCACGTTTGAAACACTCTTGTTGGAGGACCTGCAAGTGGATATTTGGAGCACTTTGTGGCCTTCGTTCGAAACGGGTATATCTTCACATAAAATCTAGACAGAAGCCTTCTCAGAAACTTCTCTGTGATGACTGCATTCAACTCACAGAGTTGAACATTCCTTTTGATAGAGCAGTTTTGAAACTCTCTTTTTCTAGCATCTGCAAATGGATAGGTGGAAGTCTGTGAAGATTTCTTTGGAAACGGGAATATCTTCACGTAAAAAGTAAACAGAAGCATTCTCAGAAAGTCCTTTGTGAGGCTTGTGTTCAACTCCCAGAGTATAACATTGCTTTTCATAGAGCAGTTTTGAAACATTCTTTTCGTAGAGTCTCCAAGTGGACATTTGGAGCGCTTTCAGGCCTGTGGTGGAAAAGGAAATATCTTCACATAAAAACTAGAGAGAAGCATTGTCAGAAACTTCTTTGTGATGATTGCATTCAACTCACGGAGTTGAAGATTCCTTTTGATACAGCAGTTTGGAAACACTCTTTCGGTGGAATCTGCAAGCGGATATGTGGACCTCTTTGAACATTTCGATGGAAAAGGGATAATCTTCCCATGAAAGCTAAACGGAAGCATGCTCAGGAGCTTCTTTGTGATGTTTGCATTCAACTCACAGAGTTGTACCTTCCTTTTGATAGAGCAGCTTTGAAACCCTCTCTTTCTAGCATCTGCAAGGGGACATTTGGAGGGCTTCGAGGCCTGGGGTGGAAAAGGAAATATCTTCTCATAAAAGCTACATGGAAGCATTCTCAGAAACTGCTTTGTGATGATTGCATTCAAGTCACAGAGTTGAACATTCCCTTTGATAGAGCCGTTTGGAAACACACTTTTGGTAGAATCTGAAAGGGGAGATTTGGACCGCTTTGAGGCCTATGGCAGCAGAGGATATAACTGCCCATAAAAACTAGACAGTAGCATTCCCAGGAAACACTTTGTGACGATTGAGTTCAACTCACAGAGCTGAACATTCCTTTGTTTGGAGCAGTTTCAAAACACACTTTCTGTAGAATCTGCAAGTGGATATTTGGACCTCTCTGAGGATTTCGTTGGATACGGGAGAAAACTCACTTATCTAAACAGAAGCATTCTCAGAACCTTCTTCGTGATGCTTGCATTCAACCCTCAGTGTTGAACCTTTCTCTGATAGTTCAGGTTTGAAGCACTCCTTCTGCAGAATCTGCAAGTGGAGATTTGGACCTCTTTGAGGCCTATCGTCGTAAAGGAAATAACTTCATCCTAAGACAAAACAGAAGTATTCTCAGAAAATTCTTTGTGATGATTGAGTTTAACTCACAGAGCTGAGCATATCTTTTGATGGAGCACTTTCAAAACACACTTTTTGTAGAATATGCAAGTGGATATTTGTACTTCTCTGAGAATTTCGTTGGAAACGGGATAAAACTCACATAACTGAAGAGAAACATTCCCAGAACTTCTTTGTGATGTTGGCATTCAACTGACAGAGTTGAACCTTCCCTTGTGAGTTCAGGTTGAAACGCTCTTTTCGTAGTATCTGCAAGTGGAGATTTGGAACGCTTTGAGGCCTACGGTAGTAAAGGAAACAGCTTCATGTAAAAACTGGACAGAAGCATTCTCAGAAAATACTTTGTGATGATTGAGTTTAACTCACAGAGCTGAACATGCCTTTGGGTGGAGCAGTTTGGAAACACACTTTTTGCAGAATCTGCAGGTGGATATTTGGACCTCTCTGAGGATTTCGTTGGAAACGGGATAACGTCACCTAACTAAACAGAAGCTTTCGTAGAAACATCTTTCTGACGTTTGCATTCAAAGTCCAGAGTTGAACCTTCCTTTGATAGTTCACGTTTGAAACACTCTTGTTGGAGGACCTGCAAGTGGATATTTGGAGCACTTTGTGGCCTTCGTTCGAAACGGGTATATCTTCACATAAAATCTAGACAGAAGCCTTCTCAGAAACTTCTCTGTGATGACTGCATTCAACTCACAGAGTTGAACATTCCTTTTGATAGAGCAGTTTTGAAACTCTCTTTTTCTAGCATCTGCAAATGGATAGGTGGAAGTCTGTGAAGATTTCTTTGGAAACGGGAATATCTTTCACGTAAAAAGTAAACAGAAGCATTCTCAGAAACTCCTTTGTGAGGCTTGTGTTCAACTCCCAGAGTATAACATTGCTTTTTATAGAGCAGTTTTGAAACATTCTTTTCGTAGAGTCTCCAAGTGGACATTTGGAGCGCTTTCAGGCCTGTGGTGGAAAAGGAAATATCTTCACATAAAAACTAGAGAGAAGCGTTGTCAGAAACTTCTTTGTGATGATTGCATTCAACTCACGGAGTTGAAGATTCCTTTCGATACAGCAGTTTGGAAACAGTCTTTCGGTGGAATCTGCAAGCGGATATGTGGACCTCTTTGAACATTTCGATGGAAAAGGGATAATCTTCCCATAAAAGCTAAACGGAAGCATGCTCAAGAACTTCTTTGTGATGTTTGCATTCATCTCACAGAGTTGTACTTTCCTTTTGATAGAGCAGCTTTGAAACCCTCTCTTTCTAGCATCTGCAAGGGGACATTTGGAGGGCTTCGAGGCCTGGGGTGGAAAAGGAAATATCTTCTCCTAAAAGCTACATGGAAGCATTCTCAGAAACTGCTTTGTGATGATTGCATTCAAGTCACAGAGTTGAACATTCCCTTTGATAGAGCCGTTTGGAAACACACTTTTGGTAGAATCTGAAAGGGGAGATTTGGACTGCTTTGAGGCCTATGGCAGCAGAGGATATAACTGCCCATAAAAACTAGACAGTAGCATTCCCAGGAAACAATTTGTGACGATTGAGTTCAACTCACAGAGCTGAACATTCCTTTGGATGGAGCAGTTTCAAAACACACTTTCTGTAGAATCTGCAAGTGGATATTTGGACCTCTCTGAGGATTTCGTTGGATACGGGAGAAAACTCACCTATCTAAACAGAAGCATTCTCAGAACCTTCTTCGTGATGCTTGCATTCAACTCACAGTGTTGAACCTTTCTCTGATAGTTCAGGTTTGAAACACTCCTTCTGCAGAATCTGCAAGTGGAGATTTGGACCTCTTTGAGGCCTATCGTCGTAAAGGAAATAACTTCATCCTAAAACAAGACAGAAGCATTCTCAGAAAATTCTTTGTGATGATTGAGTTTAACTCACAGAGCTGAGCATATCTTTTGATGGAGCATTTTCAAAACACACTTTTTGTAGAATATGCAAGTGGATATTTGTACTTCTCTGAGAATTTCGTTGGAAACGGGATAAAACTCACATAACTGAAGAGAAACATTCCCAGAACTTCTTTGTGATGTTGGCATTCAACTGACAGAGTTGAACCTTCCCTTGTGAGTTCAGGTTGAAACGCTCTTTTCGTAGTATCTGCAAGTGGAGATTTGGAACGCTTTGAGGCCTACGGTAGTAAAGGAAACAGCTTCATGTAAAAACTGGACAGAAGCATTCTCAGAAAATAGTTTGAGATGATTGAGTGTAACTCACAGAGCTGAACATTCCTTTGGATGGAGCAGTTTTGAAACACACTTTTTGTAGCATCTGCAAGTGGATATTTGGACCTCTCTGAGGATTTCGTTGGAAACGGGATAACGTCACCTAACTAAACAGAAGCTTTCGCAGAAACATCTTTCTGACGTTTGCATTCAAAGTCCAGAGTTGAACCTTCCTTTGATAGTTCACGTTTGAAACACTCTTGTTGGAGGACCTGCAAGTGGATATTTGGAGCACTTTGTGGCCTTTGTTCGAAACGGGTATATCTTCACATAAAATCTAGACAGAAGCCTTCTCAGAAACTTCTCTGTGATGACTGCATTCAACTCACAGAGTTGAACATTCCTTTTGATAGAGCAGTTTTGAAACTCTCTTTTTCTAGCATCTGCAAATGGATAGGTGGAAGTCTGTGAAGATTTCTTTGGAAACGGGAATATCTTCACGTAAAAAGTAAACAGAAGCATTCTCAGAAACTCCTTTGTGAGGCTTGTGTTCAACTCCCAGAGTATAACATTGCTTTTCATAGAGCAGTTTTGAAACATTCTTTTCGTAGAGTCTCCAAGTGGACATTTGGAGCGCTTTCAGGCCTGTGGTGGAAAAGGAAATATCTTCACATAAAAACTAGAGAGAAGCGTTGTCAGAAACTTCTTTGTGATGATTGCATTCAACTCACGGAGTTGAAGATTCCTTTTGATACAGCAGTTTGGAAACACTCTTTCGGTGGAATCTGCAAGCGGATATGTGGACCTCTTTGAACATTTCGATGGAAAAGGGATAATCTTCCCATAAAAGCTAAACGGAAGCATGCTCAGGAACTTCTTTGTGATGTTTGCATTGAACTCACAGAGTTGTACTTTAATTTGATAGAGCAGCTTTGAAACCCTCTCTTTCTAGCATCTGCAAGGGGACATTTGGAGGGCTTCGAGGCCTGGGGTGGAAAAGGAAATATCTGCTCATAAAAGCTACATGGAAGCATTCTCAGAAACTGCTTTGTGATGATTGCATTCAAGTCACAGAGTTGAACATTCCCTTTGATAGAGCCGTTTGGAAACACACTTTTGGTAGAATCTGAAAGGGGAGATTTGGACCGCTTTGAGGCCTATGGCAGCAGAGGATATAACTGCCCATAAAAACTAGACAGTAGCATTCCCAGGAAACACTTTGTGACGATTGAGTTCAACTCACAGAGCTCAACATTCCTTTGGATGGAGCAGTTTCAAAACACACTTTCTGTAGAATCTGCAAGTGGATATTTGGACCTCTCTGAGGATTTCGTTGGATACGGGAGAAAACTCACCTATCTAAACAGAAGCATTCTCAGAACCTTCTTCGTGATGCTTGCATTCAACTCACAGTGTTGAACCTTTCTCTGATAGTTCAGGTTTGAAACACTCCTTCTGCAGAATCTGCAAGTGGAGATTTGGACCTCTTTGAGGCCTATCGTCGTAAAGGAAATAACTTCATCCTAAAACAAGACAGAAGCATTCTCAGAAAATTCTTTGTGATGATTGAGTTTAACTCACAGAGCTGAGCATATCTTTTGATGGAGCACTTTCAAAACACACTTTGTGTAGAATATGCAAGTGGATATTTGTACTTCTCTGAGAATTTCGTTGGAAACGGGATAAAACTCACATAACTGAAGAGAAACATTCCCAGAACTTCTTTGTGATGTTGGCATTCAACTGACAGAGTTGAACCTTCCCTTGTGAGTGCAGGTTGAAACGCTCTTTTCGTAGTATCTGCAAGTGGAGATTTGGAACGCTTTGAGGCCTACGGTAGTAAAGGAAACAGCTTCATGTAAAAACTGGACAGAAGCATTCTCAGAAAATACTTTGTGATGATTGAGTTTAACTCACAGAGCTGAACATGCCTTTGGGTGGAGCAGTTTGGAAACACACTTTTTGCAGAATCTGCAGGTGGATATTTGGACCTCTCTGAGGATTTCGTTGGAAACGGGATAACGTCACCTAACTAAACAGAAGCTTTCGCAGAAACTTATTTCTGACGTTTGCATTCAAAGTCCAGAGCTGACCTTTGCTTTGATAGTTCACGTTTGAAACACTCTTGTTGGAGGACCTGCAAGTGGATATTTGGAGCACTTTGTGGCCTTCGTTGGAAACGGGTATATCTTCACATAAAATCTAGACAGAAGCCTTCTCAGAAACTTCTCTGTGATGATTGCATGCAACTCACAGAGTTGAACATTCCTTTTGATAGAGCAGTTTTGAAACTCTCTTTTTCTAGCATCTGCAAAGGGAAGGTGGAACTCTGTGAAGATTTCTTTGGAAACGGGAATATCTTCACGTAAAAAGTAAACAGAAGCATTCTCAGAAACTCCTTTGTGAGGCTTGTGTTCAACTCCCAGAGTATAACATTGCTTTTCATAGAGCAGTTTTGAGACATTCTTTTCGTAGAGTCTCCAAGTGGACATTTGGAGCGCTTTCAGGCCTGTGTTGGAAAAGGAAATATCTTCACATAAAAACTAGAGAGAAGTATTGTCAGAAAATTCTTTGTGATGATGGCATTCAAACCACGGAGTTGAAGATTCCTTATGATACAGCGGTTTGGAAACAGTCTTTCGGTGGAATCTGCAAGCGGATATGTGGACCTCTTTGAACATTTCGATGGAAAAGGGATAATCTTCCCATAAAAGCTAAACGGAAGCATGCTCAGGAACTTCTTTGTGATGTTTGCGTTCAACTCACAGAGTTGTACTTTCCTTTTGATAGAGCAGCTTTGAAACCCTCTCTTTCTAGCATCTGCAAGGGGACATTTGGAGGGCTTCGAGGCCTGGGGTGGAAAAGGAAATATCTTCTCATAAAAGCTACATGGAAGCATTCTCAGAAACTGCTTTGTGGTGATTACATTCAAGTCACAGAGTTGAACATTCCCTTTGATGGAGCCGTTTGGAAACACACTTTTTGTACAATCTGAAAGGGGAGATTTGGACCGCTATGAGGCCTATGGCAGTAGAGGATATAACTGCACATAAAAACTAGACAGTAGCATTCCCAGGAAACACTTGGCGACAATTGAGTTCAACTCACAGAGCTGAACATTCCTTTGGATGGAGCAGTTTCAAAACACACTTTCTGTAGATTCTGCAAGTGGATATTTGGACCTTTCTGAGGATTTCGTTGGATGCGGGAGAAAACTCACCTATCTAAAGAGAAGCATTCTCAGAACCTTCTTCGTGATGCTTGCATTCAACTCACAGTGTTGAACCTTTCTCTGATAGTTCAGGTTTGAAACACTCCTTCTGCAGAATCTGCAAGTGGAGATTTGGACCTCTTTGAGGCCTATCGTCGTAAAGGAAATAACTTCATCCTAAAACAAGACAGAAGCATTCTCAGAAAATTCTTTGTGATGATTGAGTTTAACTCACAGAGCTGAGCATATCTTTTGATGGAGCACTTTCAAAACACACTTTTTGTAGAATATGCAAGTGGATATTTGTACTTCTCTGAGAATTTCGTTGGAAACGGGATAAAACTCACATAACTGAAGAGAAACATTCCCAGAACTTCTTTGTGATGTTGGCATTCAACTGACAGAGTTGAACCTTCCCTTGTGAGTTTAGGTTGAAACGCTCTTTTCGTAGTATCTGCAAGTGGAGATTTGGAACGCTTTGAGGCCTACGGTAGTAAAGGAAACAGCTTCATGTAAAAACTGGACAGAAGCATTCTCAGAAAATACTTTGTGATGATTGAGTTTAACTCACAGAGCTGAACATGCCTTTGGGTGGAGCAGTTTGGAAACACACTTTTTGCAGAATCTGCAGGTGGATATTTGGACCTCTCTGAGGATTTCGTTGGAAACGGGATAACGTCACCTAACTAAACAGAAGCTTTCGCAGAAACATCTTTCTGACGTTTGCATTCAAAGTCCAGAGTTGAACCTTCCTTTGATAGTTCACGTTTGAAACACTCTTGTTGGAGGACCTGCAAGTGGATATTTGGAGCACTTTGTGGCCTTTGTTCGAAACGGGTATATCTTCACATAAAATCTAGACAGAAGCCTTCTCAGAAACTTCTCTGTGATGACTGCATTCAACTCACAGAGTTGAACATTCCTTTTGATAGAGCAGTTTTGAAACTCTCTTTTTGTAGCATCTGCAAATGGATAGGTGGAAGTCTGTGAAGATTTCTTTGGAAACGGGAATATCTTCACGTAAAAAGTAAACAGAAGCATTCTCAGAAACTCCTTTGTGAGGCTTGTGTTCAACTCCCAGAGTATAACATTGCTTTTCATAGAGCAGTTTTGAAACATTCTTTTCGTAGAGTCTCCAAGTGGACATTTGGAGCGCTTTCAGGCCTGTGGTGGAAAAGGAAATATCTTCACATAAAAACTAGAGAGAAGCATTGTCAGAAACTTCTTTGTGATGATTGCATTCAACTCACGGAGTTGAAGATTCCTTTTGATACAGCAGTTTGGAAACACTCTTTCGGTGGAATCTGCAAGCGGATATGTGGACCTCTTTGAACATTTCGATGGAAAAGGGATAATCTTCCCATGAAAGCTAAACGGAAGCATGCTCAGGAGCTTCTTTGTGATGTTTGCATTCAACTCACAGAGTTGTACTTTCCTTTTGATAGAGCAGCTTTGAAACCCTCTCTTTCTAGCATCTGCAAGGGACATTTGGAGGGCTTCGAGGCCTGGGGTGGAAAAGGAAATATCTTCTCCTAAAAGCTACATGGAAGCATTCTCAGAAACTGCTTTGTGATGATTGCATTCAAGTCACAGAGTTGAACATTCCCTTTGATAGAGCCGTTTAGAAACACACTTTTGGTAGAATCTGAAACGGGAGATTTGGACCGCTTTGAGGCCTATGGCAGCAGAGGATATAACTGCCCATAAAAAGTAGACAGTAGCCTTCCCAGGAAACACTTTGTGACGATTGAGTTCAACTCACAGAGCTGAACATTCCTTTGGATGGAGCAGTTTCAAAACACACTTTCTGTAGAATCTGCAAGTGGATATTTGGACCTCTCTGAGGATTTCGTTGGATACGGGAGAAAACTCACCTATCTAAACAGAAGCATTCTCAGAACCTTCTTCGTGATGCTTGCATTCAACTCACAGTGTTGAACCTTTCTCTGATAGTTCAGGTTTGAAACACTCCTTCTGCAGAATCTGCAAGTGGAGATTTGGACCTCTTTGAGGCCTATCGTCGTAAAGGAAATAACTTCATCCTAAAACAAGACAGAAGCATTCTCAGAAAATTCTTTGTGATGATTGAGTTTAACTCACAGAGCTGAGCATATCTTTTGATGGAGCACTTTCAAAACACACTTTTTGTAGAATATGCAAGTGGATATTTGTACTTCTCTGAGAATTTCGTTGGAAACGGGATAAAACTCACATAACTGAAGAGAAACATTCCCAGAACTTCTTTGTGATGTTGGCATTCAACTGACAGAGTTGAACCTTCCCTTGTGAGTTCAGGTTGAAACGCCCTTTTCGTAGTATCTGCAAGTGGAGATTTGGAACGCTTTGAGGCCTACGGTAGTAAAGGAGACAGCTTCATGTAAAAACTGGACAGAAGCATTCTCAGAAAATACTTTGGGATGATTGAGTTTAACTCACAGAGCTGAACATTCCTTTGGGTGGAGCAGTTTGGAAACACACTTTTTGTAGACTCTGCAGGTGGACATTTGGACCTCTCTGAGGATTTCGTTGGAAACGGGATAACGTCACCTAACTAAACAGAAGCTTTCGCAGAAACATCTTTCTGACGTTTGCATTCAAAGTCCAGAGTTGAACCTTCCTTTGATAGTTCACGTTTGAAACACTCTTGTTGGAGGACCTGCAAGTGGATATTTGGAGCACTTTGTGGTCTTCGTTCGAAACGGGTATAACTTCACATAAAATCTAGACAGAAGCCTTCTCAGAAACTTCTCTGTGATGATTGCATTCAACTCACAGAGTTGAACAGTCCTTTTGATAGAGCAGTTTTGAAACTCTCTTTTTCTAGCATCTGCAAATGGATAGGTGGAACTCTGTGAAGACTTCTTTGCAAACGGGAATATCTTCACGTAAAATAAACAGAAGCATTTTCAGAAACTCCTTTGTGAGGCTTGTGTTCAACTCCCAGAGTATAACATTGCTTTTCATAGAGCAGTTTTGAAACATTCCTTTCGTAGGGTCTGCAAGTGGACATTTTGAGCGCTTTCAGGCCTGCGGTGGAAAAGGAAATATCTTCACATAAAAACTAGAGAGAAGCATTGTCAGAAACTTCTTTGTGATGATTGCATTCAACTCACGGAGCTGAGGATTCCTTTTGATACAGCAGTTTGGAAAGACTCTTTTTGTGGAATCTGCAGGCGGATATGTGGACCTCTTTGAACATTTCGATGGAAAAGGGATAATCTTCCCATAAAAGCTAAACGGAAGCATGCTCAGGAACTTCTTTGTGATGTTTGCATTCAACTCACAGAGTTGTACTTTCCTTTTGATAGAGCAGCTTTGAAACCCTCTCTTTCTAGCATCTGCAAGGGGACATTTGGAGGGCTTCGAGGCCTGGGGTGGAAAAGGAAATATCTTCTCATAAAAGCTACATGGAAGCATTCTCAGAAACTGCTTTGTGATGATTGCATTCAAGTCACAGAGTTGAACATTCCCTTTGATGGAGCCGTTTGGAAACACACTTTTGGTAGAATCTGCAAGGGGAGATTTGGACAGCTTTGAGGCCTATGGCAGTAGAGGATATAACTGCACATAAAAACTAGACAGTAGCATTCTCAGGAAACACTTTGTGACGATTGAGTTCAACTCACAGAGCTGAACATTCCTTTGGATGGAGCAGTTTCAAAACACACTTTCTGTAGAATCTGCAAGTGGATATTTGGACCTCTCTGAGGATTTCGGTTGGATACGGGAGAAAACTCACCTATCTAAACAGAAGCATTCTCAGAACCTCCTTCGTGATGCTTGCATTCAACTCACAGTGTTGAACCTTTCTCTCATAGTTCAGGTTTGAAACACTCCTTCTGCAGAATCTGCAAGTGGAGATTTGGACCACTTTGAGGCCTATCGTAGTAAAGGAGAGAACTTCATCTAAAAACTAGACAGAAGCATTCTCAGAAAATTCTTTGTGATGATTGAGTTTAACTCACAGAGCTGAGCATATCTTTTGATGGAGCATTTTCAAAACACACTTTTTGTAGATTATGCAAGTGGATATTTGGACATCTCTGAGAATTTCGTTGGAAACGGTATAAACCTCACATAACTGAAGAGAAACATTCCCAGAACTTCTTTGTGATGTTGGCATTCAACTGACAGAGTTGAACCTTCCCTTGTGAGTTCAGGTTGAAACGCCCTTTTCGTAGTATCTGCAAGTGGAGATTTGGAACGCTTTGAGGCCTACGGTAGTAAAGGAAACAGCTTCATGTAAAAACTGGACAGAAGCATTCTCAGAAAATACTTTGTGATGATTGAGTTTAACTCACAGAGCTGAACATGCCTTTGGGTGGAGCAGTTTGGAAACACACTTTTTGCAGAATCTGCAGGTGGATATTTGGACCTCTCTGAGGATTTCGTTGGAAACGGGATAACGTCACCTAACTAAACAGAAGCTTTCGCAGAAACATCTTTCTGACGTTTGCATTCAAAGTCCAGAGTTGAACCTTCCTTTGATAGTTCACGTTTGAAACACTCTTGTTGGAGGACCTGCAAGTGGATATTTGGAGCACTTTGTGGCCTTTGTTCGAAACGGGTATATCTTCACATAAAATCTAGACAGAAGCCTTCTCAGAAACTTCTCTGTGATGACTGCATTCAACTCACAGAGTTGAACATTCCTTTTGATAGAGCAGTTTTGAAACTCTCTTTTTCTAGCATCTGCAAATGGATAGGTGGAACTCTGTGAAGATTTCTTTGGAAACGGGAATATCTTCACGTAAAAAGTAAACAGAAGCATTCTCAGAAACTCCTTTGTGAGGCTTGTGTTCAACTCCCAGAGTATAACATTGCTTTTCATAGAGCAGTTTTGAAACATTCTTTTCGTAGAGTCTCCAAGTGGACATTTGGAGCGCTTTCAGGCCTGTGGTGGAAAAGGAAATATCTTCACATAAAAACTAGAGAGAAGCGTTGTCAGAAACTTCTTTGTGATGATTGCATTCAACTCACGGAGTTGAAGATTCCTTTTGATACAGCAGTTTGGAAACACTCTTTCGGTGGAATCTGCAAGCGGATATGTGGACCTCTTTGAACATTTCGATGGAAAAGGGATAATCTTCCCATAAAAGCTAAACGGAAGCATGCTCAGGAGCTTCTTTGTGATGTTTGCATTCAACTCACAGAGTTGTACTTTCCTTTTGATAGAGCAGCTTTGAAACCCTCTCTTTCTAGCATCTGCAAGGGGACATTTGGAGGGCTTCGAGGCCTGGGGTGGAAAAGGAAATATCTGCTCATTAAAGCTACATGGAAGCATTCTCAGAAACTGCTTTGTGATGATTGCATTCAAGTCACACAGTTGAACATTCCCTTTGATAGAGCCGTTTGGAAACACACTTTTGGTAGAATCTGAAAGGGGAGACTTGGACCGCTTTGAGGCCTATGGCAGCAGAGGATATAACTGCACATAAAAACTAGACAGTAGCATTCCCAGGAAACACTTTGTGACGATTCAGTTCAACTCACAGAGCTGAACATTCCTTTGGATGGAGCAGTTTCAAAACACACTTTCTGTAGAATCTGCAAGTGGATATTTGGACCTCTCTGAGGATTTCGTTGGATACGGGAGAAAACTCACCTATCTAAACAGAAGCATTCTCAGAACCTTCTTCGTGATGCTTGCATTCAACTCACAGTGTTGAACCTTTCTCTGATAGTTCAGGTTTGAAACACTCCTTCTGCAGAATCTGCAAGTGGAGATTTGGACCTCTTTGAGGCCTATCGTCGTAAAGGAAATAACTTCATCCTAAAACAAGACAGAAGCATTCTCAGAAAATTCTTTGTGATGATTGAGTTTAACTCACAGAGGTGAGCATATCTTTTGATGGAGCACATTCAAAACACACTTTTTGTAGAATATGCAAGTGGATATTTGTACTTCTCTGAGAATTTCGTTGGAAACGGGATAAAACTCACATAACTGAAGAGAAACATTCCCAGAACTTCTTTGTGACGTTGGCATTCAACTGACAGAGTTGAACATTCCCTTGTGAGTTCAGGTTGAAATGCTCTTTTCGTAGTATCTGCAAGTGGAGATTTGGAACGCTTTGAGGCCTACGGTAGTAAAGGAAACAGCTTCATGTAAAAAGTGGACAGAAGCATTCTCAGAAAATACTTTGTGATGATTGAGTTTAACTCACAGAGCTGAACATGCCTTTGGGTGGAGCAGTTTGGAAACACACTTTTTGCAGAATCTGCAGGTGGATATTTGGACCTCTCTGAGGATTTCGTTGGAAACGGGATAACGTCACCTAACTAAACAGAAGCTTTCGCAGAAACATCTTTCTGACGTTTGCATTCAAAGTCCAGAGTTGAACCTTCCTTTGATAGTTCACGTTTGAAACACTCTTGTTGGAGGACCTGCAAGTGGATATTTGGAGCACTTTGTGGCCTTCGTTCGAAACGGGTATATCTTCACATAAAATCTAGACAGAAGCCTTCTCAGAAACTTCTCTGTGATGACTGCATTCAACTCACAGAGTTGAACATTCCTTTTGATAGAGCAGTTTTGAAACTCTCTTTTTCTAGCATCTGCAAATGGATAGGTGGAAGTCTGTGAAGATTTCTTTGGAAACGGGAATATCTTTCACGTAAAAAGTAAACAGAAGCATTCTCAGAAACTCCTTTGTGAGGCTTGTGTTCAACTCCCAGAGTATAACATTGCTTTTCATAGAGCAGTTTTGAAACATTCTTTTCGTAGAGTCTCCAAGTGGACATTTGGAGCGCTTTCAGGCCTGTGGTGGAAAAGGAAATATCTTCACATAAAAACTAGAGAGAAGCATTGTCAGAAACTTCTTTGTGATGATTGCATTCAACTCACGGAGTTGAAGATTCCTTTTGATACAGCAGTTTGGAAACACTCTTTCGGTGGAATCTGCAAGCGGATATGTGGACCTCTTTGAACATTTCGATGGAAAAGGGATAATCTTCCCATGAAAGCTAAACGGAAGCATGCTCAGGAACTTCTTTGTGATGTTTGCATTCAACTCACAGAGTTGTACTTTCCTTTTGATAGAGCAGCTTTGAAACCCTCTCTTTCTAGCATCTGCAAGGGGACATTTGGAGGGCTTCGAGGCCTGGGGTGGAAAAGGAAATATCTGCTCATAAAAGCTACATGGAAGCATTCTCAGAAACTGCTTTGTGATGATTGCATTCAAGTCACAGAGTTGAACATTCCCTTTGATAGAGCCGTTTGGAAACACACTTTTGGTAGAATCTGAAAGGGGAGATTTGGACCGCTTTGAGGCCTATGGCAGCAGAGGATATAACTGCCCATAAAAACTAGACAGTAGCATTCCCAGGAAACACTTTGTGACGATTGAGTTCAACTCACAGAGCTGAACATTCCTTTGGATGGAGCAGTTTCAAAACACACTTTCTGTAGAATCTGCAAGTGGATATTTGGACCTCTCTGAGGATTTCGTTGGATACGGGAGAAAACTCACCTATCTAAACAGAAGCATTCTCAGAACCTTCTTCGTGATGCTTGCATTCAACTCACAGTGTTGAACCTTTCTCTGATAGTTCAGGTTTGAAACACTCCTTCTGCAGAATCTGCAAGTGGAGATTTGGACCTCTTTGAGGCCTATCGTCGTAAAGGAAATAACTTCATCCTAAAACAAGACAGAAGCATTCTCAGAAAATTCTTTGTGATGATTGAGTTTACCTCACAGAGCTGAGCATATCTTTTGATGGAGCACTTTCAAAACACACTTTGTGTAGAATATGCAAGTGGATATTTGTACTTCTCTGAGAATTTCGTTGGAAACGGGATAAAACTCACATAACTGAAGAGAAACATTCCCAGAACTTCTTTGTGATGTTGGCATTCAACTGACAGAGTTGAATCTTCCCTCGTGAGTTCAGGTTGAAACGCTCTTTTCGTAGTATCTGCAAGTGGAGATTTGGAACTCTTTGAGGCCTACGGTAGTAAAGGAGACAGCTTCATGTAAAAACTGGACAGAAGCATTCTCAGAAAATACTTTGTGATGATTGAGTTTAACTCACAGAGCTGAACATGCCTTTGGGTGGAGCAGTTTGGAAACACACTTTTTGCAGAATCTGCAGGTGGATATTTGGACCTCTCTGAGGATTTCGTTGGAAACGGGATAACGTCACCTAATTAAACAGAAGCTTTCGCAGAAACATCTTTCTGACGTTTGCATTCAAAGTCCAGAGTTGAACCTTCCTTTGATAGTTCACGTTTGAAACACTCTTGTTGGAGGACCTGCAAGTGGATATTTGGAGCACTTTGTGGCCTTCGTTCGAAACGGGTATATCTTCACATAAAATCTAGACAGAAGCCTTCTCAGAAACTTCTCTGTGATGACTGCATTCAACTCACAGAGTTGAACATTCCTTTTGATAGAGCAGTTTTGAAACTCTCTTTTTCTAGCATCTGCAAATGGATAGGTGGAAGTCTGTGAAGATTTCTTTGGAAACGGGAATATCTTCACGTAAAAAGTAAACAGAAGCATTCTCAGAAACTCCTTTGTGAGGCTTGTGTTCAACTCCCAGAGTATAACATTGCTTTTCATAGAGCAGTTTTGAAACATTCTTTTCGTAGAGTCTCCAAGTGGACATTTGGAGTGCTTTCAGGCCTGTGGTGGAAAAGGAAATATCTTCACATAAAAACTAGAGAGAAGCATTGTCAGAAACTTCTTTGTGATGATTGCATTCAACTCAGGGAGTTGAATATTCCTTTTGATACAGCAGTTTGGAAACACTCTTTCGGTGGAATCTGCAAGCGGATATGTGGACCTCTTTGAACATTGCGATGGAAAACGGATAATTTTCCCATAAAAGCTAAACGGAAGCATGCTCAGGAACTTCTTTGTGATGTTTGCATTCAACTCACAGTAGTTGTACTTTCCTTTTGATAGAGCAGCTTTGAAACCCTCTCTTTCTAGCATCTGCCAGGGGACATTTGGAGGGCTTCGAGGCCTGGGGTGGAAAAGGAAATATCTTCTCATAAAAGCTACATGGAAGCATTCTCAGAAACTGCTTTGTGATGATTGCATTCAAGTCACAGAGTTGAACATTCCCTTTGATAGAGCCGTTTGGAAACACACTTTTGGTAGAATCTGAAAGGGGAGATTTGGACCGCTTTGAGGCCTATGGTAGCAGAGGATATAACTGCACATAAAAACTAGACAGTAGCATTCCCAGGAAACACTTTGTGACGATTGAGTTCAACTCACAGAGCTGAACATTCCTTTGGATGGAGCAGTTTCAAAACACACTTTCTGTAGAATCTGCAAGTGGATATTTGGACCTCTCTGAGGATTTCGTTGGATACGGGAGAAAACTCACCTATCTAAACAGAAGCATTCTCAGAACCTTCTTCGTGATGCTTGCATTCAACTCACAGTGTTGAACCTTTCTCTGATAGTTCAGGTTTGAAACACTCCTTCTGCAGAATCTGCAAGTGGAGATTTGGACCTCTTTGAGGCCTATCGTCGTAAAGGAAATAACTTCATCCTAAAACAAGACAGAAGCATTCTCAGAAAATTCTTTGTGATGATTGAGTTTAACACACAGAGCTGAGCATATCTTTTGATGGAGCATTTTCAAAACACACTTTTTGTAGAATATGCAAGTGGATATTTGGACTTCCCTGAGAATTTCGTGGGAAACGGGATAAACCTCACATAACTGAAGAGAAACATTCCCAGAACTTCTTTGTGATGTTGGCATTCAACTGACAGAGTTGAACCTTCCCTTGTGAGTTCAGGTTGAAACGCTCTTTTCGTAGTATCTGCAAGTGGAGATTTGGAACGCTTTGAGGCCTACGGTAGTAAAGGAAACAGCTTCATGTAAAAACTGGACAGAAGCATTCTCAGAAAATACTTTGTGATGATTGAGTTTAACTCACAGAGCTGAACATGCCTTTGGGTGGAGCAGTTTGGAAACACAGTTTTTGCAGAATCTGCAGGTGGATATTTGGACCTCTCTGAGGATTTCGTTGGAAACGGGATAACGTCACCTAACTAAACAGAAGCTTTCGCAGAAACATCTTTCTGACGTTTGCATTCAAAGTCCAGAGTTGAACCTTCCTTTGATAGTTCACGTTTGAAACACTCTTGTTGGAGGACCTGCAAGTGGATATTTGGAGCACTTTGTGGCCTTCGTTCGAAACGGGTATATCTTCACATAAAATCTAGACAGAAGCCTTCTCAGAAACTTCTCTGTGATGATTGCATTCAACTCACAGAGTTGAACAGTCCTTTTGATAGAGCAGTTTTGAAACTCTCTTTTTCTAGCATCTGCAAATGGATAGGTGGAACTCTGTGAAGACTTCTTTGCAAACGGGAATATCTTCACGTAAAATAAACAGAAGCATTCTCAGAAACTCCTTTGTGAGGCTTGTGTTCAACTCCCAGAGTATAACATTGCTTTTCATAGAGCAGTTTTGAAACATTCTTTTCGTAGAGTCTCCAAGTGGACATTTGGAGCGCTTTCAGGCCTGTGGTGGAAAAGGAAATATCTTCACATAAAAACTAGAGAGAAGCATTGTCAGAAACTTCTTTGTGATGATTGCATTCAACTCACGGAGTTGAAGATTCCTTTTGATACAGCAGTTTGGAAACACTCTTTCAGTGGAATCTGCAAGCGGATATGCGGACCTCTTTGAACATTTCGATGGAAAAGGGATAATCTTCCCATGAAAGCTAAACGGAAGCATGCTCAGGAACTTCTTTGTGATGTTTGCATTCATCTCACAGAGTTGTACTTTCCTTTTGATAGAGCAGCTTTGAAACCCTCTCTTTCTAGCATCTGCAAGGGGACATTTGGAGGGCTTCGAGGCCTGGGGTGGAAAAGGAAATATCTGCTCCTAAAAGCTACATGGAAGCATTCTCAGAAACTGCTTTGTGATGATTGCATTCAAGTCACAGAGTTGAACATTCCCTTTGATAGAGCCGTTTGGAAACACACTTTTGGTAGAATCTGAAAGGGGAGATTTGGACCGCTTTGAGGCCTATGGCAGCAGAGGATGTAACTGCCCATAAAAACTAGACAGTAGCATTCCCAGGAAACACTTTGTGACGATTGAGTTCAACTCACAGAGCTGAACATTCCTTTGGATGGAGCAGTTTCAAAACACACTTTCTGTAGAATCTGCAAGTGGATATTTGGACCTCTCTGAGGATTTCGTTGGATACGGGAGAAAACTCACCTATCTAAACAGAAGCATTCTCAGAACCTTCTTCGTGATGCTTGCATTCAACTCACAGTGTTGAACCTTTCTCTGATAGTTCAGGTTTGAAACACTCCTTCTGCAGAATCTGCAAGTGGAGATTTGGACCTCTTTGAGGCCTATCGTCGTAAAGGAAATAACTTCATCCTAAAACAAGACAGAAGCATTCTCAGAAAATTCTTTGTGATGATTGAGTTTAACTCACAGAGCTGAGCATATCTTTTGATGGAGCACTTTCAAAACACACTTTGTGTAGAATATGCAAGTGGATATTTGTACTTCTCTGAGAATTTCGTTGGAAACGGGATAAAACTCACATAACTGAAGAGAAACATTCCCAGAACTTCTTTGTGATGTTGGCATTCAACTGACAGAGTTGAACCTTCCCTTGTGAGTTCAGGTTGAAACGCCCTTTTCGTAGTATCTGCAAGTGGAGATTTGGAACGCTTTGAGGCCTACGGTAGTAAAGGAAACAGCTTCATGTAAAAACTGGACAGAAGCATTCTCAGAAAATACTTTGTGATGATTGAGTTTAACTCACAGAGCTGAACATGCCTTTGGGTGGAGCAGTTTGGAAACACACTTTTTGCAGAATCTGCAGGTGGATATTTGGACCTCTCTGAGGATTTCGTTGGAAACGGGATAACGTCACCTAACTAAACAGAAGCTTTCGCAGAAACATCTTTCTGACGTTTGCATTCAAAGTCCAGAGTTGAACCTTCCTTTGATAGTTCACGTTTGAAACACTCTTGTTGGAGGACCTGCAAGTGGATATTTGGAGCACTTTGTGGCCTTCGTTCGAAACGGGTATATCTTCACATAAAATCTAGACAGAAGCCTTCTCAGAAACTTCTCTGTGATGACTGCATTCAACTCACAGAGTTGAACATTCCTTTTGATAGAGCAGTTTTGAAACTCTCTTTTTCTAGCATCTGCAAATGGATAGGTGGAAGTCTGTGAAGATTTCTTTGGAAACGGGAATATCTTCACGTAAAAAGTAAACAGAAGCATTCTCAGAAACTCCTTTGTGAGGCTTGTGTTCAACTCCCAGAGTATAACATTGCTTTTCATAGAGCAGTTTTGAAACATTCTTTTCGTAGAGTCTCCAAGTGGACATTTGGAGCGCTTTCAGGCCTGTGGTGGAAAAGGAAATATCTTCACATAAAAACTAGAGAGAAGCGTTGTCAGAAACTTCTTTGTGATGATTGCATTCAACTCACGGAGTTGACGATTCCTTTTGATACAGCAGTTTGGAAACACTCTTTCGGTGGAATCTGCAAGCGGATATGTGGACCTCTTTGAACATTTCGATGGAAAAGGGATAATCTTCCCATGAAAGCTAAACGGAAGCATGCTCAGGAGCTTCTTTGTGATGTTTGCATTCAACTCACAGAGTTGTACTTTCCTTTTGATAGAGCAGCTTTGAAACCCTCTCTTTCTAGCATCTGCAAGGGGACATTTGGAGGGCTTCGAGGCCTGGGGTGGAAAAGGAAATATCTTCTCCTAAAAGCTACATGGAAGCATTCTCAGAAACTGCTTTGTGATGATTGCATTCAAGTCACAGAGTTGAACATTCCCTTTGATAGAGCCGTTTGGAAACACACTTTTGGTAGAATCTGAAAGGGGAGATTTGGACCGCTTTGAGGCCTATGGCAGCAGAGGATATAACTGCCCATAAAAACTAGACAGTAGCATTCCCGGGAAACACTTTGTGACGATTGAGTTCAACTCACAGAGCTGAACATTCCTTTGGATGGAGCAGTTTCAAAACACACTTTCTGTAGAATCTGCAAGGGGATATTTGGACCTCTCTGAGGATTTCGTTGGATACGGGAGAAAACTCACCTATCTAAACAGAAGCATTCTCAGAACTTCTTCGTGATGCTTGCATTCAACTCACAGTGTTGAACCTTTCTCTGATAGTTCAGGTTTGAAACACTCCTTCTGCAGAATCTGCAAGTGGAGATTTGGACCTCTTTGAGGCCTATCGTCGTAAAGGAAATAACTTCATCCTAAAACAAGACAGAAGCATTCTCAGAAAATTCTTTGTGATGATTGAGTTTAACTCACAGAGCTGAGCATATCTTTTGATGGAGCACTTTCAAAACACACTTTTTGTAGAATATGCAAGTGGATATTTGTACTTCTCTGAGAATTTCGTTGGAAACGGGATAAAACTCACATAACTGAAGAGAAACATTCCCAGAACTTCTTTGTGATGTTGGCATTCAACTGACAGAGTTGAACCTTCCCTTGTGAGTTCAGGTTGAAACGCCCTTTTCGTAGTATCTGCAAGTGGAGATTTGGAACGCTTTGAGGCCTACGGTAGTAAAGGAAACAGCTTCATGTAAAAACTGGACAGAAGCATTCTCAGAAAATACTTTGTGATGATTGAGTTTAACTCACAGAGCTGAACATGCCTTTGGGTGGAGCAGTTTGGAAACACACTTTTTGCAGAATCTGCAGGTGGATATTTGGACCTCTCTGAGGATTTCGTTGGAAACGGGATAACGTCACCTAACTAAACAGAAGCTTTCGCAGAAACATCTTTCTGACGTTTGCATTCAAAGTCCAGAGTTGAACCTTCCTTTGATAGTTCACGTTTGAAACACTCTTGTTGGAGGACCTGCAAGTGGATATTTGGAGCACTTTGTGGCCTTCGTTCGAAACGGGTATATCTTCACATAAAATCTAGACAGAAGCCTTCTCAGAAACTTCTCTGTGATGATTGCATTCAACTCACAGAGTTGAACATTCCTTTTGATAGAGCAGTTTTGAAACTCTCTTTTTCTAGCATCTACAAATGGATAGGTGGAACTCTGTGAAGATTTCTTTGGAAACGGGAATATCTTCACGTAAAAAGTAAACAGAAGCAATCTCAGAAACTCCTTTGTGAGGCTTGTGTTCAACTCCCAGAGTATAACATTGCTTTTCATAGAGCAGTTTTGAAACATTCTTTTCGTAGAGTCTCCAAGTGGACATTTGGAGCGCTTTCAGGCCTGTGGTGGAAAAGGAAATATCTTCACATAAAAACTAGAGAGAAGCATTGTCAGAAACTTCTTTGTGATGATTGCATTCAACTCACGGAGTTGAAGATTCCTTTTGATACAGCAGTTTGGAAACACTCTTTCGGTGGAATCTGCAAGCGGATATGTGGACCTCGTTGAACATTTCGATGGAAAAGGGATAATCTTCCCATAAAAGCTAAACGGAAGCATGCTCAGGAACTTCTTTGTGATGTTTGCATTCAACTCACAGAGTTGTACTTTCCTTTTGATAGAGCAGCTTTGAAACCCTCTCTTTCTAGCATCTGCAAGGGGACATTTGGAGGGCTTCGAGGCCTGGGGTGGAAAAGGAAATATCTGCTCATTAAAGCTACATGGAAGCATTCTCAGAAACTGCTTTGTGATGATTGCATTCAAGTCATAGAGTTGAACATTCCCTTTAATAGAGCCGTTTGGAAACACACTTTTGGTAGAATCTGAAAGGGGAGATTTGGACCGCTTTGAGGCCTATGACAGCAGAGGATATAACTGCCCATAAAAACTAGACAGTAGCATTCCCAGGAAACACTTTGTGACGATTGAGTTCAACTCACAGAGCTGAACATTCCTTTGGATGGAGCAGTTTCAAAACACACTTTCTGTAGAATCTGCAAGTGGATATTTGGACCTCTCTGAGGATTTCGTTGGATACGGGAGAAAACTCACCTATCTAAACAGAAGCATTCTCAGAACCTTCTTCGTGATGCTTGCATTCAACTCACAGTGTTGAACCTTTCTCTGATAGTTCAGGTTTGAAACACTCCTTCTGCAGAATCTGCAAGTGGAGATTTGGACCTCTTTGAGGCCTATCGTAATAAAGGAAATAACTTCATCCTAAAACAAGACAGAAGCATTCTCAGAAAATTCTTTGTGATGATTGAGTTTAACTCACAGAGCTGAGCATATCTTTTGATGGAGCACTTTCAAAACACACTTTTTGTAGAATATGCAAGTGGATATTTGTACTTCTCTGAGAATTTCGTTGGAAACGGGATAAAACTCACATAACTGAAGAGAAACATTCCCAGAACTTCTTTGTGATGTTGGCATTCAACTGACAGAGTTGAACCTTCCCTTGTGAGTTCAGGTTGAAACGCTCTTTTCGTAGTATCTGCAAGTGGAGATTTGGAACGCTTTGAGGCCTACGGTAGTAAAGGAAACAGCTTCATGTAAAAACTGGACAGAAGCATTCTCAGAAAATACTTTGTGATGATTGAGTTTAACTCACAGAGCTGAACATGCCTTTGGGTGCAGCAGTTTGGAAACACACTTTTTGCAGAATCTGCAGGTGGATATTTGGACCTCTCTGAGGATTTCGTTGGAAACGGGATAACGTCACCTAACTAAACAGAAGCTTTCGCAGAAACATCTTTCTGACGTTTGCATTCAAAGTCCAGAGTTGAACCTTCCTTTGATAGTTCACGTTTGAAACACTCTTGTTGGAGGACCTGCAAGTGGATATTTGGAGCACTTTGTGGCGTTTGTTCGAAACGGGTATATCTTCACATAAAATCTAGCCAGAAGCCTTCTCAGAAACTTCTCTGTGATGACCTGCATTCAACTCACAGAGTTGAACATTCCTTTTGATAGAGCAGTTTTGAAACTCTCTTTTTCAAGCATCTGCAAATGGATAGGTGGAAGTCTGTGAAGATTTCTTTGGAAACGGGAATATCTTCACGTAAAAAGTAAACAGAAGCATTCTCAGAAACTCCTTTGTGAGGCTTGTGTTCATCTCCCAGAGTATAACATTGCTTTTCATAGAGCAGTTTTGAAACATTCTTTTCGTAGAGTCTCCAAGTGCACATTTGGAGTGCTTTCAGGCCTGTGGTGGCAAAGGAAATATCTTCACATGAAAACTAGAGAGAAGCATTGTCAGAAACTTCTTTGTGATGATTGCATTCAACTCACGGAGTTGACGATTCCTTTTGATACAGCAGTTTGGAGACACTCTTTCGGTGGAATCTGCAAGCGGATATGTGGACCTCTTTGAACATTTCGATGGAAAAGGGATAATCTTCCCATGAAAGCTAAACGGAAGCATGCTCAGGAGCTTCTTTGTGATGTTTGCATTCAACTCACAGAGTTGTACTTTCCTTTTGATAGAGCAGCTTTGAAACCCTCTCTTTCTAGCATCTGCAAGGGGACATTTGGAGGGCTTCGAGGCCTGGGGTGGAAAAGGAAATATCTTCTCCTAAAAGCTACATGGAAGCATTCTCAGAAACTGCTTTGTGATGATTGCATTCAAGTCACAGAGTTGAACATTCCCTTTGATAGAGCCGTTTGGAAACACACTTTTGGTAGAATCTGAAAGGGGAGATTTGGACCGCTTTGAGGCCTATGGCAGCAGAGGATATAACTGCCCATAAAAACTAGACAGTAGCATTCCCAGGAAACACTTTGTGACGATTGAGTTCAACTCACAGAGCTGAACATTCCTTTGGATGGAGCAGTTTCAAAACACACTTTCTGTAGAATCTGCAAGTGGATATTTGGACCTCTCTGAGGATTTCGTTGGATACGGGAGAAAACTCACCTATCTAAACAGAAGCATTCTCAGAACCTTCTTCGTGATGCTTGCATTCAACTCACAGTGTTGAACCTTTCTCTGATAGTTCAGGTTTGAAACACTCCTTCTGCAGAATCTGCAAGTGGAGATTTGGACCTCTTTGAGGCCTATCGTCGTAAAGGAAATAACTTCATCCTAAAACAAGACAGAAGCATTCTCAGAAAATTCTTTGTGATGATTGAGTTTAACTCACAGAGCTGAGCATATCTTTTGA
The DNA here is from genome assembly GCF_000001405.40 of Homo sapiens. Classification (NCBI taxonomy): domain Eukaryota; kingdom Metazoa; phylum Chordata; class Mammalia; order Primates; family Hominidae; genus Homo; species Homo sapiens. Next base: position 122,488,257 of record NC_000001.11, read on the forward strand.
TGGAGCACTTTCAAAACACACTTTGTGTAGAATATGCAAGTGGATATTTGTACTTCTCTGAGAATTTCGTTGGAAACGGGATAAAACTCACATAACTGAAGAGAAACATTCCCAGAATTTCTTTGTGATGTTGGCATTGAACTGAAAGAGTTGAACCTTCCCTTGTGAGTTCAGGTTGAAACGCTCTTTTCGTAGTATCTGCAAGTGGAGATTTGGAACGCTTTGAGGCCTACGGTAGTAAAGGAAACAGCTTCATGTAAAAACTGGACAGAAGCATTCTCAGAAAATACTTTGTGATGATTGAGTTTAACTCACAGAGCTGAACATTCCTTTGGGTGGAGCAGTTTGGAAACACACTTTTTGCAGAATCTGCAGGTGGATATTTGGACCTCTCTGAGGATTTCGTTGGAAACGGGATAACGTCACCTAACTAAACAGAAGCTTTCGCAGAAACATCTTTCTGACGTTTACATTCAAAGTCCAGAGTTGAACCTTCCTTTGATAGTTCACGTTTGAAACACTCTTGTTGGAGGACCTGCAAGTGGATATTTGGAGCACTTTGTGGCGTTTGTTCGAAACGGGTATATCTTCACATAAAATCTAGCCAGAAGCCTTCTCAGAAACTTCTCTGTGATGACTGCATTCAACTCACAGAGTTGAACATTCCTTTTGATAGAGCAGTTTTGAAACTCTCTTTTTCTAGCATCTGCAAATGGATAGGTGGAAGTCTGTGAAGATTTCTTTGGAAACGGGAATATCTTCACGTAAAAAGTAAACAGAAGCATTCTCAGAAACTCCTTTGTGAGGCTTGTGTTCAACTCCCAGAGTATAACATTGCTTTTCATAGAGCAGTTTTGAAACATTCTTTTCGTAGAGTCTCCAAGTGGACATTTGGAGCGCTTTCAGGCCTGTGGTGGAAAAGGAAATATCTTCACATAAAAACTAGAGAGAAGCATTGTCAGAAACTTCTTTGTGATGATTGCATTCAACTCACGGAGTTGAAGATTCCTTTTGATACAGCAGTTTGGAAACACTCTTTCGGTGGAATCTGCAAGCGGATATGTGGACCTCGTTGAACATTTCGATGGAAAAGGGATAATCTTCCCATGAAAGCTAAACGGAAGCATGCTCAGGAACTTCTTTGTGATGTTTGCATTCAACTCACAGAGTTGTACTTTCCTTTTGATAGAGCAGCTTTGAAACCCTCTCTTTCTAGCATCTGCAAGGGGACATTTGGAGGGCTTCGAGGCCTGGGGTGGAAAAGGAAATATCTGCTCATAAAAGCTACATGGAAGCATTATCAGAAACTGCTTTGTGATGATTGCATTCAAGTCACAGAGTTGAACATTCCCTTTGATAGAGCCGTTTGGAAACACACTTTTGGTAGAATCTGAAAGGGGAGATTTGGACCGCTTTGAGGCCTATGGCAGCAGAGGATATAACTGCCCATAAAACTAGACAGTAGCATTCCCAGGAAACACTTTGTGACGATTGAGTTCAACTCACAGAGCTGAACATTCCTTTGGATGGAGCAGTTTCAAAACACACTTTCTGTAGAATCTGCAAGTGGATATTTGGACCTCTCTGAGGATTTCGTTGGATACGGGAGAAAACTCACCTATCTAAACAGAAGCATTCTCAGAACCTTCTTCGTGATGCTTGCATTCAACTCACAGTGTTGAACCTTTCTCTGATAGTTCAGGTTTGAAACACTCCTTCTGCAGAATCTGCAAGTGGAGATTTGGACCTCTTTGAGGCCTATCATCGTAAAGGAAATAACTTCATCCTAAAACAAGACAGAAGCATTCTCAGAAAATTCTTTGTGATGATTGAGTTTAACTCACAGAGCTGAGCATATCTTTTGATGGAGCACTTTCAAAACACACTTTTTGTAGAATATGCAAGTGGATATTTGTACTTCTCTGAGAATTTCGTTGGAAACGGGATAAAACTCACATAACTGAAGAGAAACATTCCCAGAACTTCTTTGTGATGTTGGCATTCAACTCTCAGAGTTGAACCTTCCCTTGTGAGTTCAGGTTGAAACGCCCTTTTCGTAGTATCTGCAAGTGGAGATTTGGAACGCTTTGAGGCCTACGGTAGTAAAGGAAACAGCTTCATGTAAAAACTGGACAGAAGCATTCTCAGAAAATACTTTGTGATGATTGAGTTTAACTCACAGAGCTGAACATGCCTTTGGGTGCAGCAGTTTGGAAACACACTTTTTGCAGAATCTGCAGGTGGATATTTGGACCTCTCTGAGGATTTCGTTGGAAACGGGATAACGTCACCTAACTAAACAGAAGCTTTCGCAGAAACATCTTTCTGACGTTTGCATTCAAAGTCCAGAGTTGAACCTTCCTTTGATAGTTCACGTTTGAAACACTCTTGTTGGAGGACCTGCAAGTGGATATTTGGAGCACTTTGTGGCCTTTGTTCGAAACGGGTATATCTTCACATAAAATCTAGACAGAAGCCTTCTCAGAAACTTCTCTGTGATGACTGCATTCAACTCACAGAGTTGAACATTCCTTTTGATAGAGCAGTTTTGAAACTCTCTTTTTCTAGCATCTGCAAATGGATAGGTGGAAGTCTGTGAAGATTTCTTTGGAAACGGGAATATCTTCACGTAAAAAGTAAACAGAAGCATTCTCAGAAACGCCTTTGTGAGGCTTGTGTTCAACTCCCAGAGTATAACATTGCTTTTCATAGAGCAGTTTTGAAACATTCTTTTCGTAGGGTCTCCAAGTGGACATTTGGAGCGCTTTCAGGCCTGTGGTGGAAAAGGAAATATCTTCACATAAAAACTAGAGAGAAGCATTGTCAGAAACTTCTTTGTGATGATTGCATTCAACTCACGGAGTTGAAGATTCCTTTCGATACAGCAATTTGGAAACCCTCTTTCGGTGGAACCTGCAAGCGGATATGTGGACCTCTTTGAATATTTCGATGGAAAAGGGATAATCTTCCCATAAATGCTAAACGGAAGCATGCTCAGGAACTTCTTTGTGATGTTTGCATTCAACTCACAGAGTTCTACTTTCCTTTTGATAGAGCAGCTTTGAAACCCTCTCTTTCTAGCATCTGCAAGGGGACATTTGGAGGGCTTCGAGGCCTGGGGTGCGAAAGGAAATATCTTCTCATAAAAGCTACATGGAAGCATTCTCAGAAACTGCTTTGTGATGATTGCATTCAAGTCACAGAGTTGAACATTCCCTTTCATACAGCCGTTTGGAAACACACTTTTGGTAGAATCTGAAAGGGGAGATTAGCACCGCTTTGAGGCCTATGGCAGCAGAGGATATAACTGCACATAAAAACTAGACAGTAGCATTCCCAGGAAACACTTTGTGACGATTGAGTTCAACTCACAGAGCTGAACATTCCTTTGGATGGAGCAGTTTCCAAACACACTTTCTGTAGAATCTGCAAGTGGATATTTGGACCTCTCTGAGGATTTCGTTGGATACGGGAGAAAACTCACTTATCTAAACAGAAGCATTCTCAGAACCTTCTTCGTGATGCTTGCATTCAACTCTCAGTGTTGAACCTTTCTCTGATAGTTCAGGTTTGAAACACTCCTTCTGCAGAATCTGCAAGAGGAGATTTGGACCTCTTTGAGGCCTATCGTCGTAAAGGAAATAACTTCATCTTAAGACAAGACAGAAGCATTCTCAGAAAATTCTTTGTGATGATTGAGTTTAACTCACAGAGCTGAGCGTATCTTTTGATGGAGCGTTTTCAAAACACACTTTTTGTAGAATATGCAAGTGGATATTTGTACTTCTCTGAGAATTTCGTTGGAAACGGGATAAAACTCACATAACTGAAGAGAAACATTCCCAGAACTTCTTTGTGATGTTGGCATTCAACTGACAGAGTTGAACCTTCCCTCGTGAGTTCAGGTTGAAACGCTCTTTTCGTAGTATCTGCAAGTGGAGATTTGGAACGCTTTGAGGCCTACGGTAGTAAAGGAAACAGCTTCATGTAAAAACTGGACAGAAGCATTCTCAGAAAATACTTTGTGATGATTGAGTTTAACTCACAGAGCTGAACATGCCTTTGGGTGGAGCAGTTTGGAAACACACTTTTTGCAGAATCTGCAGGTGGATATTTGGACCTCTCTGAGGATTTCCTTGGAAACGGGATAACGTCACCTAACTAAACAGAAGCTTTCGCAGAAACATCTTTCTGACGTTTGCATTCAAAGTCCAGAGTTGAACCTTCCTTTGATAGTTCACGTTTGAAACACTCTTGTTGGAGGACCTGCAAGTGGATATTTGGAGCACTTTGTGGCCTTCGTTCGAAACGGGTATATCTTCACATAAAATCTAGACAGAAGCCTTCTCAGAAACTGCTTTGTGATGATTGCATTCAACTCGCAGAGTTGAACATTCCTTTTGATACAGCAGTTTTGAAACTCTCTTTTTGTAGAATCTGCAAGTGGATATGTGGACCTCTGTGAAGATTTCTTTGGAAACGGGAATATCTTCACATAAAAAATAAACAGAAGCATTCTCAGAAACTCCTTTGTGAGGCTTGTGTTCAACTCCCAGAGTATAACATTGCTTTTCATAGAGCAGTTTTGAAACATTCTTTTCGTAGAGTCTCCAAGTGGACATTTGGAGCGCTTTCAGGCCTGTGGTGGAAAAGGAAATATCTTCATATAAAAACTAGAGAGAAGCATTGTCAGAAACTTCTTTGTGATGATTGCATTCAACTCACGGAGTTGAAGATTCCTTTTGATACAGCAGTTTGGAAACACTCTTTCGGTGGAATCTGCAAGCGGATATGTGGACCTCTTTGAACATTTCGATGGAAAAGGGATAATCTTCCCATGAAAGCTAAACGGAAGCATGCTCAGGAGCTTCTTTGTGATGTTTGCATTCAACTCACAGAGTTGTACTTTCCTTTTGATAGAGCAGCTTTGAAACCCTCTCTTTCTAGCATCTGCAAGGGGACATTTGGAGGGCTTCGAGGCCTGGGGTGGAAAAGGAAATATCTTCTCCTAAAAGCTACATGGAAGCATTCTCAGAAACTGCTTTGTGATGATTGCATTCAAGTCACAGAGTTGAACATTCCCTTTGATAGAGCCGTTTGGAAACACACTTTTGGTAGAATCTGAAAGGGGAGATTTGGACCGCTTTGAGGCCTATGGCAGCAGAGGATATAACTGCCCATAAAAACAAGACAGTAGCATTCCCAGGAAACACTTTGTGACGATTGAGTTCAACTCACAGAGCTGAACATTCCTTTGGATGGAGCAGTTTCAAAACACACTTTCTGTAGAATCTGCAAGTGGATATTTGGACCTCTCTGAGGATTTCGTTGGATACGGGAGAAAACTCACCTATCTAAACAGAAGCATTCTCAGAACCTTCTTCGTGATGCTTGCATTCAACTCACAGTGTTGAACCTTTCTCTGATAGTTCAGGTTTGAAACACTCCTTCTGCAGAATCTGCAAGTGGAGATTTGGACCTCTTTGAGGCCTATCGTCGTAAAGGAAATAACTTCATCCTAAAACAAGACAGAAGCATTCTCAGAAAATTCTTTGTGATGATTGAGTTTAACTCACAGAGCTGAGCATATCTTTTGATGGAGCACTTTCAAAACACACTTTGTGTAGAATATGCAAGTGGATATTTGTACTTCTCTGGGAATTTCGTTGGAAACGGGATAAAACTCACATAACTGAAGAGAAACATTCCCAGAACTTCTTTGTGATGTTGGCATTCAACTGACAGAGTTGAACCTTCCCTCGTGAGTTCAGGTTGAAACGCTCTTTTCGTAGTATCTGCAAGTGGAGATTTGGAACGCTTTGAGGCCTACGGTAGTAAAGGAAACAGCTTCATGTAAAAACTGGACAGAAGCATTCTCAGAAAATACTTTGTGATGATTGAGTTTAACTCACAGAGCTGAACATGCCTTTGGGTGGAGCAGTTTGGAAACACACTTTTTGCAGAATCTGCAGGTGGATATTTGGACCTCTCTGAGGATTTCGTTGGAAACGGGATAACGTCACCTAACTAAACAGAAGCTTTCGCAGAAACATCTTTCTGACGTTTGCATTCAAAGTCCAGAGTTGAACCTTCCTTTGATAGTTCACGTTTGAAACACTCTTGTTGGAGGACCTGCAAGTGGATATTTGGAGCACTTTGTTGCCTTTGTTCGAAACGGGTATATCTTCACATAAAATCTAGCCAGAAGCCTTCTCAGAAACTTCTCTGTGATGACTGCATTCAACTCACAGAGTTGAACATTCCTTTTGATAGAGCAGTTTTGAAACTCTCATTTTCTAACATCTGCAAATGGATAGGTGGAACTCTGTGAAGATTTCTTTGGAAACGGGAATATCTTCACGTAAAAAGTAAACAGAAGCAATCTCAGAAACTCCTTTGTGAGGCTTGTGTTCAACTCCCAGAGTATAACATTGCTTTTCATAGAGCAGTTTTGAAACATTCTTTTCGTAGAGTCTCCAAGTGGACATTTGGAGCGCTTTCAGGCCTGTGGTGGAAAAGGAAATATCTTCACATAAAAACTAGAGAGAAGCGTTGTCAGAAACTTCTTTGTGATGATTGCATTCAACTCACGGAGTTGAAGATTCCTTTTGATACAGCAGTTTGGAAACACTCTTTCGGTGGAATCTGCAAGCGGATATGTGGAACTCTTTGAACATTTCGATGGAAAAGGGATAATCTTCCCATAAAAGCTAAACGGAAGCATGCTCAGGAACTTCTTTGTGATGTTTGCATTCAACTCACAGAGTTGTACTTTCCTTTTGATAGAGCAGCTTTGAAACCCTCTCTTTCTAGCATCTGCTAGGGGACATTTGGAGGGCTTCGAGGCCTGGGGTGGAAAAGGAAATATCTGCTCATAAAAGCTACATGGAAGCATTCTCAGAAACTGCTTTGTGATGATTGCATTCAAGTCACAGAGTTGAACATTCCCTTTGATAGAGCCGTTTGGAAACACACTTTTGGTAGAATCTGAAAGGGGAGATTTGGACCGCTTTGAGGCCTATGGCAGCAGAGGATATAACTGCCCATAAAAACTAGACAGTAGCATTCCCAGGAAACACTTTGTGACGATTGAGTTCAACTCACAGAGCTGAACATTCCTTTGGATGGAGCAGTTTCAAAACACACTTTCTGTAGAATCTGCAAGTGGATATTTGGACCTCTCTGAGGATTTCGTTGGATACGGGAGAAAACTCACCTATCTAAACAGAAGCATTCTCAGAACCTTCTTCGTGATGCTTGCATTCAACTCACAGTGTTGAACCTTTCTCTGATAGTTCAGGTTTGAAACACTCCTTCTGCAGAATCTGCAAGTGGAGATTTGGACCTCTTTGAGGCCTATCGTCGTAAAGGAAATAACTTCATCCTAAAACAAGACAGAAGCATTCTCAAAAAATTCTTTGTGATGATTGAGTTTAACTCACAGAGCTGAGCATATCTTTTGATGGAGCATTTTCAAAACACACTTTTTGTAGAATATGCAAGTGGATATTTGTACTTCTCTGAGAATTTCGTTGGAAACGGGATAAAACTCACATAACTGAAGAGAAGCATTGTCAGAAACTTCTTTGTGATGTTGGCATTCAACTGACAGAGTTGAACCTTCCCTCGTGAGTTCAGGTTGAAACGCTCTTTTCGTAGTATCTGCAAGTGTAGATTTGGAACGCTTTGAGGCCTACGGTAGTAAAGGAAACAGCTTCATGTAAAAACTGGACAGAAGCATTCTCAGAAAATACTTTGGGATGATTGAGTTCAACTCACAGAGCTGAACATTCCTTTGGGTGGAGGAGTTTTGAAACACACTTTTTGTAGACTCTGCAGGTGGATATTTGGACCTCTCTGAGGATTTCGTTGGAAACGGGATAACGTCACCTAACTAAACAGAAGCTTTCGCAGAAACATCTTTCTGACGTTGGCCTTCAAAGTCCAGAGTTGAGCCTTCCTTTGGTAGTTCACGTTTGAAACACTCTTTTTGGAGGACCTGCAAGTGGATATTTTGAGCACTTTGTGGCCTTCGTTCGAAACGGCTGTATCTTCACATAAAATCTAGACAGAAGCCTTCTCAGAAACTTCTCTGTGATGATTGCATTCAAGTCACAGAGTTGAACATTCCTTTTGATAGAGCAGTTTTGAAACTCTCTTTTTCTAGCATCTGCAAATGGATAGGTGGAACTCTGTGAAGATTTCTTTGGAAACGGGAATATCTTCACGTAAAAAGTAAACAGATCTATCTAGTTTTTATACGAAGATATTTCCTTTTCTACCATTTACCACAAAGCGGCTGAAATCTCCACTTGCAAATTCCAGAAAAAGAGTGTTTCAAGTCTGCTCTGTGTAAAGGATCGTTCAACTCTGTGAGTTGAATACACACAACGAAAGGAAGTTACTGAGAATTCTTCTGTCTAGCATAAAAAGTAAACAGAAGCATTGTCAGAAACTTCTTTGTGATGATTGCATTCAACTCACGGAGTTGAAGATTCCTTTTGATACAGCAGTTTGGAAACACTCTTTCGGTGGAATCTGCAAGCGGATATGTGGACCTCTTTGAACATTTCGATGGAAAAGGGATAATCTTCCCATGAAAGCTAAACGGAAGCATGCTCAGGAGCTTCTTTGTGATGTTTGCATTCAACTCACAGAGTTGTACTTTCCTTTTGATAGAGCAGCTTTGAAACCCTCTCTTTCTAGCATCTGCAAGGGGACATTTGGAGGGCTTCGAGGCCTGGGGTGGAAAAGGAAATATCTGCTCCTAAAAGCTACATGGAAGCATTCTCAGAAACTGCTTTGTGATGATTGCATTCAAGTCACAGAGTTGAACATTCCCTTTGATAGAGCCTTTTGGAAACACACTTTTGGTAGAATCTGAAAGGGGAGATTTGGACCGCTTTGAGGCCTATGGCAGCAGAGGATATAACTGCCCATAAAAACTAGACAGTAGCATTCCCAGGAAACACTTTGTTACGATTGAGTTCAACTCACACAGCTGACCATTCCTTTAGATGGAGCAGTTTCAAAACACACTTTCTGTAGAATCTGCAAGTGGATATTTGGACCTCTCTGAGGATTTCGTTGGATACGAGAGAAAACTCACCTATCAAAACAGAAGCATTCTCAGAACCTTCTTCGTGATGCTTGCATTCAACTCACAGTGTTGAACCTTTCTCTGATAGTTCAGGTTTGAAACACTCCTTCTGCAGAATCTGCAAGTGGAGATTTGGACCTCTTTGAGGCCTATCGTCGTAAAGGAAATAACTTCATCCTAAAACAAGACAGAAGCATTCTCAGAAAATTCTTTGTGATGATTGAGTTTAACTCACAGAGCTGAGCATATCTTTTGATGGAGCACTTTCAAAACACACTTTGTGTAGAATATGCAAGTGGATATTTGTACTTCTCTGAGAATTTCGTTGGAAACGGGATAAAACTCACATAACTGAAGAGAAACATTCCCAGAACTTCTTTGTGATGTTGGCATTCAACTCTCAGAGTTGAACCTTCCCTTGTGAGTTCAGGTTGAAACGCCCTTTTCGTAGTATCTGCAAGTGGAGATTTGGAACGCTTTGAGGCCTACGGTAGTAAAGGAAACAGCTTCATGTAAAAACTGGACAGAAGCATTCTCAGAAAATACTTTGTGATGATTGAGTTTAACTCACAGAGCTGAACATGCCTTTGGGTGGAGCAGTTTGGAAACACACTTTTTGCAGAATCTGCAGGTGGATATTTGGACCTCTCTGAGGATTTCGTTGGAAACGGGATAACGTCACCTAACTAAACAGAAGCTTTCGCAGAAACATCTTTCTGACGTTTGCATTCAAAGTCCAGAGTTGAACCTTCCTTTGATAGTTCACGTTTGAAACACTCTTGTTGGAGGACCTGCAAGTGGATATTTGGAGCACTTTGTGGCCTTCGTTCGAAACGGGTATATCTTCACATAAAATCTAGACAGAAGCCTTCTCAGAAACTTCTCTGTGATGACTGCATTCAACTCACAGAGTTGAACATTCCTTTTGATAGAGCAGTTTTGAAACTCTCTTTTTGTAGCATCTGCAAATGGATAGGTGGAAGTCTGTGAAGATTTCTTTGGAAACGGGAATATCTTCACGTAAAAAGTAAACAGAAGCATTCTCAGAAACTCCTTTGTGAGGCTTGTGTTCAACTCCCAGAGTATAACATTGCTTTTCATAGAGGAGTTTTGAAACATTCTTTTCGTAGAGTCTCCAAGTGGACATTTGGAGCGCTTTCAGGCCTGTGGTGGAAAAGGAAATATCTTCACATAAAAACTAGAGAGAAGCATTGTCAGAAACTTCTTTGTGATGATTGCATTCAACTCACGGAGTTGAAGATTCCTTTTGATACAGCAGTTTGGAGACACTCTTTCGGTGGAATCTGCAAGCGGATATGTGGACCTCTTTGAACATTTCGATGGAAAAGGGATAATCTTCCCATGAAAGCTAAACGGAAGCATGCTCAGGAACTTCTTTGTGATGTTTGCATTCAACTCACAGAGTTGTACTTTCCTTTTGATAGAGCAGCTTTGAAACCCTCTCTTTCTAGCATCTGCAAGGGGACATTTGGAGGGCTTCGAGGCCTGGGGTGGAAAAGGAAATATCTTCTCCTAAAAGCTACATGGAAGCATTCTCAGAAACTGCTTTGTGATGATTGCATTCAAGTCACAGAGTTGAACATTCCCTTTGATAGAGCCGTTTGGAAACACACTTTTGGTAGAATCTGAAAGGGGAGATTTGGACCGCTTTGAGGCCTATGGCAGCAGAGGATATAACTGCCCATAAAAACTAGACAGTAGCATTCCCAGGAAACACTTTGTGACGATTGAGTTCAACTCACAGAGCTGAACATTCCTTTGGATGGAGCAGTTTCAAAACACACTTTCGGTAGAATCTGCAAGTGGATATTTGGACCTCTCTGAGGATTTCGTTGGATACGGGAGAAAACTCACCTATCTAAACAGAAGCATTCTCAGAACCTTCTTCGTGATGCTTGCATTCAACTCACAGTGTTGAACCTTTCTCTGATAGTTCAGGTTTGAAACACTCCTTCTGCAGAATCTGCAAGTGGAGATTTGGACCTCTTTGAGGCCTATCGTCGTAAAGGAAATAACTTCATCCTAAAACAAGACAGAAGCATTCTCAGAAAATTCTTTGTGATGATTGAGTTTAACTCACAGAGCTGAGCATATCTTTTGATGGAGCACTTTCAAAACACACTTTGTGTAGAATATGCAAGTGGATATTTGTACTTCTCTGTGAATTTCGTTGGAAACGGGATAAAACTCACATAACTGAAGAGAAACATTCCCAGAACTTCTTTGTGATGTTGGCATTCAACTGACAGAGTTGAACCTTCCCTTGTGAGTTCAGGTTGAAACGCCCTTTTCGTAGTATCTGCAAGTGGAGATTTGGAACGCTTTGAGGCCTACGGTAGTAAAGGAAACAGCTTCATGTAAAAACTGGACAGAAGCATTCTCAGAAAATACTTTGTGATGATTGAGTTTAACTCACAGAGCTGAACATGCCTTTGGGTGGAGCAGTTTGGAAACACACTTTTTGCAGAATCTGCAGGTGGATATTTGGACCTCTCTGAGGATTTCGTTGGAAACGGGATAACGTCACCTAACTAAACAGAAGCTTTCGCAGAAACATCTTTCTGACGTTTGCATTCAAAGTCCAGAGTTGAACCTTCCTTTGATAGTTCACGTTTGAAACACTCTTGTTGGAGGACCTGCAAGTGGATATTTGGAGCACTTTGTGGCCTTCGTTCGAAACGGGTATATCTTCACATAAAATCTAGACAGAAGCCTTCTCAGAAACTTCTCTGTGATGATTGCATTCAACTCACAGAGTTGAACATTCCTTTTGATAGAGCAGTTTTGAAACTCTCTTTTTCTAGCATCTGCAAATGGATAGGTGGAACTCTGTGAAGATTTCTTAGGAAACGGGAATATCTTCACGTAAAAAGTAAACAGAAGCATTCTCAGAAACTCCTTTGTGAGGCTTGTGTTCAACCCCCAGTAGTATAACATTGCTTTTCATAGAGCAGTTTTGAAACATTCTTTTCGTAGATTCTCCAAGTGGACATTTGGAGCGCTTTCAGGCCTGTGGTGGAAAAGGAAATATCTTCACATAAAAACTAGAGAGAAGCATTGTCAGAAACTTCTTTGTGATGATTGCATTCAACTCACGGAGTTGAAGATTCCTTTTGATACAGCAGTTTGGAAACACTCTTTCGGTGGAATCTGCAAGCGGATATGTGGACCTCTTTGAACATTTCGATGGAAAAGGGATAATCTTCCCATGAAAGCTAAACGGAAGCATGCTCAGGAGCTTCTTTGTGATGTTTGCATTCAACTCACAGAGTTGTACTTTCCTTTTGATAGAGCAGCTTTGAAACCCTCTCTTTCTAGCATCTGCAAGGGGACATTTGGAGGGCTTCGAGGCCTGGGGTGGAAAAGGAAATATCTTCTCCTAAAAGCTACATGGAAGCATTCTGAGAAACGGCTTTGTGATGATTGCGTTCAAGTCACAGAGTTGAACATTCCCTTTGATAGAGCCGTTTGGAAACACACTTTTGGTAGAATCTGAAAGGGGAGATTTGGACCGCTTTGAGGCCTTTGGCAGGAGAGGATATAACTGAACATAAAAACTAGACAGTAGCATTCCCAGGAAACACTTTGTGACGATTGAGTTCAACTCACAGAGCTGAACATTCCTTTGGATGGAGCAGTTTCAAAACACACTTTCTGTAGAATCTGCAAGTGGATATTTGGACCTCTCTGAGGATTTCGTTGGATACGGGAGAAAACTCACCTATCTAAACAGAAGCATTCTCAGAACCTTCTTCGTGATGCTTGCATTCAACTCACAGTGTTGAACCTTTCTCTGATAGTTCAGGTTTGAAACACTCCTTCTGCAGAATCTGCAAGTGGAGATTTGGACCTCTTTGAGGCCTATCGTCGTAAAGGAAATAACTTCATCCTAAAACAAGACAGAAGCATTCTCAGAAAATTCTTTGTGATGATTGAGTTTAACTCACAGAGGTGAGCATATCTTTTGATGGAGCATTTTCAAAACACACTTTTTGTAGAATATGCAAGTGGATATTTGTACTTCTCTGAGAATTTCATTGGAAACGGGATAAAACTCACATAACTGAAGAGAAACATTCCCAGAACTTCTTTGTGATGTTGGCATTCAACTGACAGAGTTGAACCTTCCCTCGTGAGTTCAGGTTGAAACGCTCTTTTCGTAGTATCTGCAAGTGGAGATTTGGAACGCTTTGAGGCCTACGGTAGTAAAGGAAACAGCTTCATGTAAAAACTGGACAGAAGCATTCTCAGAAAATACTTTGTGATGATTGAGTTTAACTCACAGAGCTGAACATGCCTTTGGGTGGAGCAGTTTGGAAACACACTTTTTGCAGAATCTGCAGGTGGATATTTGGACCTCTCTGAGGATTTCGTTGGAAACGGGATAACGTCACCTAACTAAACAGAAGCTTTCGCAGAAACATCTTTCTGACGTTTGCATTCAAAGTCCAGAGTTGAACCTTCCTTTGATAGTTCACGTTTGAAACACTCTTGTTGGAGGACCTGCAAGTGGATATTTGGAGCACTTTGTGGCCTTCGTTCGAAACGGGTATATCTTCACATAAAATCTAGACAGAAGCCTTCTCAGAAACTTCTCTGTGATGACTGCATTCAACTCACAGAGTTGAACATTCCTTTTGATAGAGCAGTTTTGAAACTCTCTTTTTCTAGCATCTGCAAATGGATAGGTGGAAGTCTGTGAAGATTTCTTTGGAAACGGGAATATCTTCACGTAAAAAGTAAACAGAAGCATTCTCAGAAACTCCTTTGTGAGGCTTGTGTTCAACTCCCAGAGTATAACATTGCTTTTCATAGAGCAGTTTTGAAACATTCTTTTCGTAGAGTCTCCAAGTGGACATTTGGAGCGCTTTCAGGCCTGTGGTGGAAAAGGAAATATCTTCACATAAAAACTAGAGAGAAGCATTGTCAGAAACTTCTTTGTGATGATTGCATTCAACTCACGGAGTTGAAGATTCCTTTTGATACAGCAGTTTGGAAACACTCTTTCGGTGGAATCTGCAAGCGGATATGTGGACCTCTTTGAACATTTCGATGGAAAAGGGATAATCTTCCCATGAAAGCTAAACGGAAGCATGCTCAGGAGCTTCTTTGTGATGTTTGCATTCAACTCACAGAGTTGTACTTTCCTTTTGATAGAGCAGCTTTGAAACCCTCTCTTTCTAGCATCTGCAAGGGGACATTTGGAGGGCTTCGAGGCCTGGGGTGGAAAAGGAAATATCTGCTCATTAAAGCTACATGGAAGCATTCTCAGAAACTGCTTTGTGATGATTGCATTCAAGTCACAGAGTTGAACATTCCCTTTGATAGAGCCGTTTGGAAACACACTTTTGGTAGAATCTGAAAGGGGAGATTTGGACCGCTTTGAGGCCTATGGCAGCAGAGGATATAACTGCCCATAAAAACTAGACAGTAGCCTTCCCAGGAAACACTTTGTGACAATTGAGTTCAACTCACAGAGCTGAACATTCCCTTGGATGGAGCAGTTTCAAAACACACTTTCTGTAGAATCTGCAAGTGGATATTTGGACCTCTCTGAGGATTTCGTTGGATACGGGAGAAAACTCACCTATCTAAACAGAAGCATTCTCAGAACCTTCTTCGTGATGCTTGCATTCAACTCACAGTGTTGAAACTTTCTCTGATAGTTCAGGTTTGAAACACTCCTTCTGCAGAATCTGCAAGTGGAGATTTGGACCTCTTTGAGGCCTATCGTCGTAAAGGAAATAACTTCATCCTAAAACAAGACAGA